>NC_000012.12:67611643-67763158 GCF_000001405.40 Homo sapiens | reverse complement strand
ACCAGGGACTGGTGTCATGGAAGACAATTTTTCCATAGACAGGGTGGGGGGTGGCGGCGGTGCGGGAGGGTGTGATAGTTGAGGAGGGTGAGGGAAAGTGACGGTGAAATGGGGGTAGAGGGAGGGATGGTTTCAGGATGGAACTGTTCCATCTCAGATCATACCGGCCATTAGATTCTCATAAGGAGCACGCGACCTAGATCCCTCACATGTCCAGTTCACAATAGGGTTTGTGCTCCTGAGAATCTGATGCCCCTGCTGATCTGACAAGAGGTGGAGCTCAGGTGGTAATGCTCACTTGCCTGCTGCTCACCTCCTGTTGGGTGACCCGGTTCCTAGCAGGCCAGGGGCCAGTATTAGTCTGTAGCCCGGGGGGTTGGAGAGCCCTAATACGGAAGACCTGTTACCCTGATCTTGGTATCATATTCCAGGCCTAGGAAACTAAACTGGTAAAGACAAGCAAACTCCCTATTTCAGACATCAGGCCTGGGAATAGACTGTTTGTAAAATGGTACCTGAAGAATATAATGATTTCAGCAGCTGTGCTTTGGGTGAACTTTCTTCCCTCCGATTTTGGCTAATATCTTGATGGCTTTTTTACAGCTTCTGATACCACAGCTCATTAGCACTTAGTGAAAACATCTATACTGAATTCTTACCTTCCTGAGTCTAACTTAACTTCTGGTGACTTGGGGGTGAAGAGAGAGGGGGCTGACAATATTTAATTTGGAATGGGCTGAGATATATTTTTGTGGGTAGATATTTTTCTCTGCAGGATTGACCACCTAAATGTTCAAGAGCTACAAATGAAGAATGACATGCTTCCCATGCCATTGGCAAGGCCTCAAGGGTCTCAATAAAGCATCACTTAATATTCATGAGGTTTCTTTCATGCATGCCCTCCTTAGTCTCAGGCTACAGAGCGGGTTAGGTGGAGGTGCTTATGAAGTACTCTCTGATGAACAGAAGCATAAATCTTGAGTTTAATTAGTAATGCTATTCAGCTCCAAGACGAGCTGACATGCCCTTTGTAGGGCTTTGAGTTGGTAAAGCCAGGGGATCAATATCACTTTAAAGGTTGTTTCTCTCTGTTCACACATAGAGCACAACAAAGGAAAGAATTCTTCTAGGAAACAGCAGAGAGATCAGTTTCTTCAAAAGTGGGTGAAGATGTAGACAATGACCATTTTTCACAACAAACATCAGCAGAACAATTTTGTGTTTTAAACACAGATTTAATGGGTGGGTTTGTGTGAATGTGTGCATTTGGCAAAGTTCTCAAGAGCTGTTCTTTCTTCATGGGGGAAGAAAAGAAACTCTCAGCAAAGGCCAAGGAAACTATTTCAGCTAAGAAAGGAACTGCAATGGTTTGTAATGTAACTCATGAAATAATTGTAGCCAGAGCCAGAAAATGCAGTCATTGGGAAAGCCTCAGTAAGAATAAGACTGTGAGGGGCCCCAGACAGCTGTGCTTTCATCTTTACCATCTCTACTACAGGAAAATGACCTTACAACGACTTTCAAGACCTATATTTCTTTATGAAAGAAACTATTAGCGGGAATAAGAAAATTATAGACGGGGCCTAAAAATGGAATAGAAGAGGAAGTTCTTTTGAGTTTACTTAGAAAGAAAATAATTAAACTCCTTTGAAATTATCTTTTATCTTAAAGTACAAAAGAGGCCCTTGGGGAGGGAAGAGACCATAAGCAGGACACATGGTCAGATCAGGCCTTCACAGGCCAATTGCTGAAACAGATGAAATTAAAAGCCATTGATTTAATTAGGTCACCTTAGCACTTTGATCAGGGAGACCATTTACCAAGTGTGACGTTGCTCGATATTTGGCTATTACAACAGAAAGAAGAAAAGACGGATCAGTGGTTGAAGAAGCGCTCATGGATATGCACAGAGACAAAGTGTATAATGAGCAAGTGAGTGTTCCCTGTGGTTGCTGGGGTCTGGATTTGCGTTTGCTCTCCTCAGATGCCCTTCTCTGCCTTTTTCTGTCCTGTTCTGTACCGCAGAGGCGGCTAACTCCTACACACTGTCTAGGCTACTGGACCATTGGCTTTCTATTGGAATTGCGACTAGAGAGTGGGAGGAAAGACAGATATGGGTATTTTCCTCTGCTCTGCCCTCTACTTTCACTGCTAAGCTCTGACAAGGCAGCATCTTCTCAGGCCACTCTCTCCAGGCCTCTAGTTCTCAGTGGGCTCTGGGAACACCATTCCCCTACCTTTCAGCTCTGCAGGTGATAATGGTTTTCTGCTCTTGCTAATCTCTGGTTGCCTCACCATCTCCCTTCACCCTACTCACACCTTTCACAATAGCCCCTCTTACATTTGCTTCACTCAAACCTCTGGAGTTGAACTGTTTTTTTCTGCCAGAACACTGACTCATATAGTCCTAGATAACTTGTCACACACACAAAAAGACTACAATTGTAATCTAAGGCAAATGGCTACAGTATACCATTGGTACCTTATTTAAATGCAATGCCTTCATGTGGAAAATAACATGACATTAGTACAGAGGTCAGATTCGGAGTTTGTCGTTTTCTCATTGTTTTCAGCAGGGGTCCATGATCTTTCTATAGGCATAACAGAAGTCTGGGCCAGAGCTCCAGATATCCATTATAAAATCTACATTACTAGGAACCCAGAAAGATAAAACAAAACAGCAGAAGTTAGTTGTAGCAAGTTTTCTGAGTAGTGTTAATGTTACAGTCTTGCGAATGCACCACAATGTAGCAGTCTCTTGTTGTTTCAGGTATCCCAGGGTTCTTTGCCTCGTGACCAAGAAAATTAAGGAGCGTGGACACAAAGGGTGAGGTTGGAATGAATGTTTAATAAGCAAAAGAAGAAAGCTCCCAACCAAGGAGAGAGGGCCCAAAACAGGGTTGCCAACTATGAGGCTGAGTCCAGGGTATGAATGGACTGGGAAGGGGAGGAATGTGCTGACTGGTCTGCAGGCTGTTTTGGAGAAAGCACCACTTAGAAAGAGGTATCATAGTGTAAAGAACCAATTGGAGGCAAAGGCGAAGGTTTGGCTTGGGACCTTGGCCTGGGACCAATCAGAGGCTGAAGTGATGACTCAACCTATGTAAATGAAGACTTAGCCCACTGCCAATTACAGAAAGGTAGGCATATGTAAAATAGGTGAAAAGTAAGAAACCAGTAGGTGAAAATAAGTGACTAAGGCATGCCAAGGAGAGAGAAACATGTCCAAATAGGGGTAGAATTTGTTCATCTGGGTTTACCGAGTAAGTGTTTCCATTCAAGGATGCAGTCTCTTTCTTATCTGGGGCCCGCAGTTTGATTTTCAGGCTGTTCTTTGTTTGAATGAATTTTTACCAGGGACTCACCCTAACTGCCTGCCTGACTGGTTTCTTACTTTCTCCTCTCTCATTAAGAGAGTTTAGGACCCTACAAATATTTCCCAAATAACCATTTATAAAGGAATAGAGACATTGTGCATTTGCTTTTCCCCGGCTATAAGAAGGTAGTTAAGGCAAGACACTGGTACTTAG
This sequence comes from Homo sapiens, assembly GCF_000001405.40. Classification (NCBI taxonomy): domain Eukaryota; kingdom Metazoa; phylum Chordata; class Mammalia; order Primates; family Hominidae; genus Homo; species Homo sapiens. The sequence continues at coordinate 67,759,628 of NC_000012.12, read as the reverse complement.
ACAAAAGAGAGAGAGAAGAGGAGAAAGGGGAAGAAGAGGAGAGAGGAAAGAAGGAAAGAAAGGGTTGAGGGTGGGGAAAAGAGAGAACTATAAATTCTTTCTTAAATTTCAGCTAGGGCTAGTAAATTTTCTTTTTTTGAAAACTGAATAATTTTATTTGCAGAATTAATGGCAAGATTTTTGCTTTGTAAAAAGGGCCAGCCTACATAGATACTTAATTTATAACCTGGAACTGAGAGGCCTTTCCTGAACAACTCTATCTAAAATATTTCACCCTCTCCCATCCTTGGTCCTCCACCATAATCCACTGCCCCATGATGTGTTTCATTGTTTTCACCAGGCACTTGGCACCACCTAACATTACATGACGGTGCTTATGTGTTTGTTGATTGTTGGTCTTGCACCCAGAATACCAGCTCCATGAGGCCAGGTGTGCTGTGTGCTGGTTCACCAGCACCAGGTAGACCGTGGGCATCAAGGTTCATGTGAACAGGGGAACCCAGCAAGGCTGGACCCCTGCAGTGGTGATTTCTCCTGAAAGGCACGTGGATGGGTGGTGTTGACCAAACAGCTGTGATTACATTTTCTCTCAGGAAGTCTGAATCCAGGACACTTACTTACTCAAAGGCAATTCTCTCCAAAAATTACTTTTTTGTGAAAACCTGTTTCAGGGCTTGATTCACATGTTGTTCGTGGCAGAGAATGAAGTGTCTCTTTTCTCTTCCTTAGTGCTGTGTTTTCTTCCTATGAAAAGAAAAAAAGAAAAGACTCCAGATGGAGAGCCTCAAATTGTCGGCAGATTTGAAACTCCCCTGGAATTTGTATTGGTGATGCAGAGTTTGGTGCAGACTGACAAGTGAGTAATCTTCTATCTTATCGCTTCAATTTCAGGCTTCAGAGATGCCCAGCTCTGTTGTTCAAAGAGTTTTATTAAAAATTTGTGAGGAGGGGAAAGCAGTCTCTGTGGGCCTGTCTGATTTCATTATCTCTGACAGAGCATGCAGATGGAGCAGAGCCAGTGGAAGTCCACAGACAGCCATTCATGGTGCTGGGCTAAAGCAAAGGCCTCCGGAGCCTCCCCGCACTGATCATACATGTTCTAATCTGGTGGGATCTTAGTCCATGTTCCATTGCTTATAACAGAATGCCTAAAACTGGGTAGTTTATTTAAAAAAAAAAAATTTACTTCTTAAGTAATGAAGGCTGAGAAGTCCAAGGTCACAGGGACACATCTGGTGAGATGGGGACTTGCTGGTGGGGCCTCTCTGCAGCATCCCCAGACAGAACAGGGAACCACATAGCAAGGTTGCTCAGCATGCCGGCTCAGGTTTCACTTCCTCTTATAAAGCCAGCAGTTCCACACCTGTGATAATTCATTAATCCTTTAACCCATTAATCCAACGATGAATAGATTAATCTATTCATGAGGGCAAGCCCTCATGACCCAAACACCTCTTAAAGGCCCCATCCCTCAATACTGCCACACTGGAGATAAAGTTTCAACATGAGTTTCGGAGGGGACATTCAAACCATAGCAGGATTTCTCATACATGAATTCATGTCTGAGAAACATACATGAATCTCAATACATAACCCAGTGTATACTTCTCAGTTATTAAACTATAGCAGTCTAGTCAAAAGACACAGACCTACTAATCCCCAACCTTCAAATTGCTTCACTTAGTGCAATTTCTGCTGTTGCTCATCTCACTAGCAAAACTGCATTCTCTGATAATTTTTCCTATAAGTCCAGATTGAGCGACAAGCTGCCATCTGTTCCTCTGCCAGCTTGGATGCATAGTTGGAATCTAGCATTCCATAAAGGCATTCGGATTGCATTCAGACAATGTTTCAATCATCCTAAGTCTAGGTACAGACCTCACAGTACTCTCAAAGGCAAGGATTGGTCTGATAGCACCCACTAAAATGGAGGTCCTGGGGAGGGGGCAGACTGGCTTGCCTGTCCCATAAGAAGGAGCACTAGGTCACATGAAGGCAATTAGCCCAGCCAAACAATCTGCCCCTTCCCATACATATTGTTCTAGTTGCCAAGAGGGGTCTCCAACTTTAAGAGTGGCCATACTGAAAGATGTCCAATGGAGTTTTGTAAAGAATTGGGATGAATGAAGGGCTGGAAGGAGTGCACTGGTAATACAGAATGGGCAAGAATGCAGAATGGGCAAGTAGATAGTCAAGAGCCCCAGCCTGGCAGTCTGGATTTAAACCCTAGCTCACTCACTGGCTTCATCCTAGCCTTTCTCCACTCTCGAGAAATGGTAAGCTCAACTGAGAGCTTTATAAAAATGTCCATGTCTGGGCACAACCCCCAAAACAATTAAAATAGAATCAAATTAGAACCTCTGCTACTACCTAAAAGTTCTAGCAGAATGCATAAGGTTGCATGATTCAATATATTAAAAGTCTGGGAAAATCGGAAATGCAGAAAATGCAAAGCAAATGAAGAGGATAAGTTTCTTTGGTTCTCCTGGCCACACTCACTCTGAGAGATGGCCGTGGCATTGCTAGAACCAAAGGGTTTCCAACCAAAGAGAAAAGTAGAGCTAGGGTGACCCAGGGCAGGGAGGGCTACCTCCTGCTCAGGCCCCAGTACTCCCTAGCTGCCTTGAGGTCTTTGGATACTCCCAGACCTGTGCTCAGGCTATAAAACTACCTCATCTACCTAAGGCCAGGCAGCACTACTTTGATTCTTTGTTAAAATCCCACTGACCACCAAAGATAAAAACATCGCCACTTCCTCAATAGACCCCCTTCCATCTTATCTAAGACTTTGTTCTTGCTTAATCTAACCTATTTCCTTGCACAAGAGAAAGAGGATGGCTTTTTTTTCTTTTATGTTAGAGGCCGTATTAAACTTGGCAGTGGTATAGACTTTCATTCAAGGATTCACTGCCCTGTTACAGTGGGGTTGTGCAGGGCACTGTCCATAGAGCTATAGGTGATAGCCTTGGCCCTAAGGTCTCTGAGGTAGACACAGATTAGACAAGCATGCTACAGACACAAAGTGCAAGTGAGTGAATTAATAGCCACACACACACACACACACACACACACACACACACGCAGGAAGCCATTAGCATGGCAAAGAAAGGAACATCACAGCAATAACAAAACCAGGAGAAAACCCATTTTCTTTTTCTTTTCTTTTTCCTAAGTGAACTCAGCAAAGGTAGAGAATGACCCATTTTAACCTAGACAGTGATCAAATGGTTCGTGTAAACTGTGATTTTCACTGCTTCTTCCCCAGCCCAAGAAATAATGCTTTTCTTTGAAGAACTGATGTTGCACTCTAAATGATACATTTGGCACTAGAATTCAGCGTTCTGTTTCTCTGTAGGATGATAATGGAAACTGGATATATGTCTAATTCTCAACTTACATAATTAGTAACTTTATACCATGCAAAATTAAAAAAGAAAAAAAATGTCCTGCTACAAGATAGCATCTCAGGAGGTAAAGCTGAAGTTGTTCTGTAGGTTTAAAATTATTTAGTATGAAGACTTCTTTAGCCCTGAGTTATTACTGCTTGCTTCTTCTGTTAACATTGCATTATTATTATTATTATTACTACTACTACTGATCACTGTGAAGAGGAAATATCACCATAGAAACTTGGAGGCTAGAGAGTGGGAGGGAGAAGGGGAATGGCTCCGATACAGAGACTCAAAACCACAGCTCTCTGCATCTCCTGAGAAGCCTTTCAGAAAGGTGTTTTCTTCAAAGAGAAGAATTTAGGATTAGGTTTTCTATCTCTAGTTTTCATGAGACCCCAGTGCATGACACAATTCACTCTTTGGTGAATAACCCCATGGAGGGCAGAGCAGACCAAATAAGAAAAGAAAAGAAATGAAGATTAGCTAGAAGACACTGCATCTGTAATGGGATAAATCAACCAGTCCCCTTTTCTTCTCCTTTTGGTTCTTCAGGTATGTAATTATTATTTCTTATCCACAGACTCAATATGCCTTTTTCCAGAACATGTAATCTTAAGTTGACTTAATAAAACTATACTTTTGATCTCAAATCTTCTTAAAAGTTGGGTTTCAGTTCACTAACCACTTCAGGGGATTCACAGAGGTCTATGCCACAGTCAGTCGTAATTAGGAACTGACTTGGGCAACAACTGGAATCAGGACCTTTTTTTAAAAAAAAAGTATTTCCCCTGAACAAAGAGAAGTTCCTCCTTTGGTGAAATGCATCTTTGTAGAACTAATGGCTAATTTCTTGTTTTCTTAAAGGGCGTTTTATCTCCTCCCTGGAATCTCGATCAGAGAAGTAGGGTTTCTTCCCCACCTCATTCTCCCCTCACCCCAGACACACACACACTTGCTTTCAAATTCTTTGCTGCTGAAGGTGTCCCTTTGGCACACACACAAGGAGAGAACAGCCTCTCCAAGCATATCTTTTAAAGTGAGAGGAGCAGGGTCGGCAACTGCAACCACAGCAAACAGTCTACATCAAGAGTGCACAGTCTTGCCTCATAGGTGAGAATTCAGGCCAATTCAAATATTTCCAAAACACCTCTCAGAGCCAAACGCTCAGCCCCGTGCACTTAGGCAGCAAACACTGCAGTCCTCAACTCGGGGATGCAGTCCTCCCTGTTCACGTTTGATTAGGTTCACCTAAGAATATTGACACTCCCGATTTCAAGTTACTACTAGATCTAGTCTCTGAGATTTGCAGAACTCCATACCATAGCTGTCATTGGATGAAGTCTGTACTAAACTCTTAATAATAATCATTAATGTTTAATAGAACCAAACAACGTACAAGTTGCTTTTACATCCACTGTATCTGGTGCATAGTAGGCACTGTGAAATGAGAAATGGATGAATGCAAAATGACGTGATTTTTAAGAGATTAAAATGACCTACCAATGCTGAGGAAAAGGGGGATGATGAGAAGTCTCCCTGGTGTTAGAGTGAGCTTCACTTTCCAGAAGAAATTTCCAAACATCTATAGTTATGACAGCGTTCCATCTAAATTTCCAAAACAGTTCCCACTTTGATTAATGTGCCTTCTTGTTGCCGTAAATACCCTTGTACTTGCCATATTGGGTACCTTGTATTCTTAGTTTATAGTCAGCATAATTCAGACTTGCTGTGATTTTTGCTGCACAACCAGGCCTCTTAAACATAAAAAGCAGTCCTAGGTCACTCTCAGTTTCTGGGCTGCAAGCATACTACACATATATATGTATGTGTGTATGTGTGTGTGTGTATTGTGTGTGTATGAAGAATGCCAAATCAAAGTTACAAAAGTTGTGAGATGATTTATACATCAGCATTAAACAATTGAATACCTTGAAGCCCTCCAAAATACAGTGTAATATGATTGTGCTATTCACGTGAAATTTGTATAATTCTGTGTGTGCGCACACACACACACACTCACCCTCTTTGGATGGTGTGGTTTGTTACTGGGTCACCAGTTTAATGATATATAAACATCTTTTGGTCTTGTCCTTGGATCCCCATAGTTCTGGCTGGCTAGAAGTTCATTTGGATATCATATTAAACACCTAAATGGGGGATGCTGTATTGATACTAAATGCCCTTCTGGCTGCCAGGTGAAAGGCCTTAGGGTGCATGCTAATAAACCAGCCCTGAAGATTAGTACAGGTTCCGAGTAAACTGTTCTGCCTAAGAGGAGACAGCACATTCCCAGAAACAGACTGGGAGCATTGTCTGAGCTCTGTCCTTTGCTGTCCTTGCTTTGAGCTCACAGTTTAGGAAGAGCTGGGAAAAGCCCTGTGGCCTGGAAACAATTTCATAGGCTGAATCATTTTTAAAACTAACTGGAGAGTTGTTAGAACCTCCATTATGGGCTCTCTTTTCCACAGTACCTTCAAAGGGAGCGATAGGTAAAGCACAAACAGAATCAGCTTTCAAAAGTTCCCTGGCTTCCCACCTGCTGCTGCTGCGGGCTTCCTGTGGGAAAAGGGAACCGCTGGCCTGTGGGAGAGGAATCAGCTATTTCTCAAAGCCACTGGGAGAGCACTTTTCAAAGGCAAAAGGAAATCTTCCCATGAAGCTGTTAGTTACCAAGCCCGCACTGAGCAAGACAGTGGTGGTGAGTTTTAGGGATGTTTTAAAGCATAGGAAGGGAGAGTTTTACTTCTATGTCTGTTAGCATTCATAATCTGTGTCCTCACAGGCCCTATTCCTGGGGCATCAGTACTTACAAGTGTTAGGATAAAAAGATTTTTGGTCAGGCACATTGGCTCACACCTGTAATCCGACACTTTGGGAGGCTGAGGCGGGTGGATCACCTGAGGTCAGGAGTTTGAGACCAGCCTGGCCAACATGATGAAACCCCACCTCTACTAAAAATACAAAAATTAGCCAGGTGTGGTGGTGCACACCTGTAATCCCAGCTACTCAGGAGGCTGAGGCAGGAAAATCGCTTGAACCTGGGAGGTAGAGGTTGCAGTGAGCCAAGATCATACCACTGCACTCCAGCCTGGGCAACAGAGCGAGACTCTGTCACCAAAAAAAAAAAAGATTTTCTACTAAATTAAGGAACAGAAATATAACATGGCACGCAACAGGTTAAAATAAGACTTAGGAACTCCTGTATGTTCCTTCTCTCCTACCACCCTCCATGAATGCAGGGATTGGTGCTGGCTTTATGAAATATCTTTCCTCTATTAGGATTGCCACCTCTCCCCTCTGACTCTGTCCTTATCGATAGCTGTCCAGGGTCTGGGTCACTTCATTTGGTATAGCCTTGGGTCAACTTATTTAATTACCCCATATTTATTTTAGTGATTAAACCATGGAGAGAGTGGAAAGCAAGGGATACTGAGAGTTTAAATATTGTTTCAGCTCCATAGAGGCAGACATCACTGAAAAGTCTGAAAATGTTATATTAGCCATGCAGTCAGTATCTGTGAGCTTTCTCTCATATGTCTACTCACAGCATTGAGGAGTACATAAAATTGCTAGGTAACTAACAATAATAACAGTTTTTATTGAGCACTCGTATGTGCAAGGGAAGGTGTTAAATGCTTTTTATACATTATTTAATTCAGTCAACTCCTGAGAGGCTCGCATTATTTCTTCCCCTTTTGCAGATGAAAAACTGAGGCTTAGAAAGGACAAGTGACTTGTCCAAGGTCACACAGGAGTGTGACTCAAGATTCAGACTCACACTGCTTAACTCTAAAGACAAAGATGAGAGAGAGGGAAATATGTGCTGAAATTCTTACGGCATTTGTCACCTATTCCAGTCATCTGAGACTTAACATAGTCTAAAATGTGTCAGTTATCATTTCAAGTTTTATAATCACATTAAGATTGCAAATTCCTTGAGGTCAAAGACCGAGTTTTCTACTTCTTTATATTCTTCAGAGTCCCTAACATAGCAATTTGTACAAAACAAGCAACTAATAAATATGTACGTTAATAAATCTAAAAGAGGGGAGTTAAATTATTATCGTGAGTTGAAGAAAAAAATGAGCCTACTAAGATAAAAGAGGATGAAGATGAGGATTTGTCTTCCCCATTTTCCAGGATATGGGTCATTTTAAAAAGACAAATTCTGGGTCTCTCTCAAGCTCCAAAGGAGGGAACTATCCCAGGTTAATTAACTTTCTGAAATAGCTACCTTGAAAAGGAGGAGGGCAGTGGAAGCCTCCAACAGCCTCCTGAATATGTCCATGGGAAATGATTCCAGCAAAGCTCCAATGTAAATCAAGCTCGGCTCCCCAAAGCCCCAGATTCATACAATTTCAGAGGCTCATCCCTTTAATCTTTCTGCTGTCTCTTGAGGGCTTATAACTTCCGCAGTGGCTGGAGGGCCGAAGGAGTCACAGAAGCTCAGCCCTGATGCAAAAGTAAGCAGAAAGAGACTGTGAGCCATCAGGAGTGAGCAAGATAAGCAGCAGTATCCTCTAAGCAAAAACCCCCAGGCAGACATGCCAAGGACCAAGGTCCCAGAAAGTTTATAGATTCCAACAGGGTTGGAAAGAGAAGCACCCTTACAGCACAGCCTCAAAGAAAGCCGAGCAAAAGGGCCATGCTGTTCTCATCACAAGAGGGCTGTGTTGTCTACAGTCTCCTTTTGAGAAGTGTGTCTCCCATATGTGCACACGCACTGCATGCACACAGCTGCCCTAACTGTACTCAACTCTCTCTTTTTTGTCTACATCAAAGTACGCAGCTGTGATTCTTTTAAACAACACTGGACTCTAGGTGACCATCATGCTTCCTGGGGGCAGCTGCACACAAGTCAGTATAAAGCGGAGAAAGTAACACCAGTAGGTTAAGGTGAGTAAAATCCCCCCTCTCTTTGGTCTTCTGATAATTCAGCAGTAACTGTCACCTAGGTTTTGGTATTTCTCCTTCATACGTACAAGTAGCATGTGTTACTCTTTAAGACAAAATTCTGGGGATGAGGGGAGAGATATTCTCTTTTCAACATTTGTCTGGTGCCATTTCTGTATATGATCTGTGACTAAAGCCCAGTCCTGTGGCTGGGTAAGTGTCCTAAGGCTGGGCCCTCAGGACACCACTTCCCTCCCAGACCTACATCCTAGCCAGCAGGGTCTCCGCCAGCAGTGCACATCTGTGAATGTGGCCCAGGGAGGAGAGGGTTGCCCTTCCAAATGCTGCCTTTGTGGACAGCTCGCCACTCCTCTTGGGTGATGCCAAAGCCTGCCACTGAGCTCAAGTTTCCCCCACTGCAATATGAAACACTGCCTTTAGGTGCCTGGTGCTGTGTCTGCTGTTTTGAAAATGAAAATATTTGCTTCTAACTCCATCTACCATCTGTTTGTAACCTTTACGCCTATCCATATGCCAGCTTGAAACTGCCACTGTAGCCTTTGGGTCTCCCTGGACTTTCACAACAGACTAGACACCATATCCTCTTAGAATGGTTTGGACAGCCAAGAGCCATTGTCATGAGCTGTTCACCACCACAAGCACAGTCTACTTTTTTAAAGGGCTGCAGTTGTGTGTCACTTCCAAGCTACCATGGGGAGGACCAAGAAAGAGAAACAAAGGATTAGAAAGTAAAATATGAGAACATAACAAACCTATGGAATTCACTACATCTTTCAGAACATTACTGGCTAGACTAAAAAAAAAATTGTGCATGCTATCAAAGAAAGTAAATGGAAAAAGTAATACCAAATTTGTTTGATATTTCAAGATAACAGTGACACAGCAAAAGAGGAAGACCCTATTTAAGAAGTGGTACAACCCATGGGAATTTAAAAACAGGTGAGGATATGTAATATTTGACAACACTATCTCCAAGAAGAAACAAGACTCTAAGCAATGCAATAATGATATTGTTTCGGATGTGAATAAAGTAGGTCTAGCCTAAATGCAGGTGTCACACGCAAATATTCACTTGTGGGTAGTAGGCATCTTAGCAATGAGAACAATAGGAGATGTTTAGTTCTGGCATAGATAGAGGTCCCTGGTTGCCAAGCTAGTTGTTCATGATCATTACTTATTATTTCTTGCTTACCAAGAAAATTATCAAAATATGAGTTTGCTCTGTGATTTAGTCAGGGTTTGCCAGAGAGACAGAACCAATAGGATATGTATATATATAGAAAGAGGGGAAAATGAACTTATTAGGGGAATTAGTTCACTTGATTATGGAGGCTGAGAAGTCCCATGATAGGCTGTCAGCGAGCTGGAGAATGAAGGAAGCCAGCAGTGTGCTCAGTCCAAGTCTGAAGACCTTAGAACCAAGGAAGACAATGGTGTAAATCTCAGTTCAAGGCGAAAGGTCCAAGAGCCCAAGGGTCCACTGGTGTGAGTGCTGGGGTCCAAAGATGGGAGAATCTGGGGTCTAACCTCCATGGGCAGGAGAATATGGGCATCCTGGCTCTGGAAGAGAGAGTAAGAAGTCATCCTTCCCCTCCCATTTTGTTCCATCTAGGCCCTCAGCCAACTGGAGAGTGCCTACTCACATTGAAGGTGGATATTCTCCACTCAGCCCACTGACTTACATGCCAGTCTCCTCTGCAAACGTCCTCACACCTCGGGCAGCCCAATCATTTAACCAAACTCCAAGTCACCTGGCTTTGAGGAACAAGTTCAGTGCCTACTGAAGTAGTAAGAATAAATAATGTTTTGCCAGCTATCTGGGTGTCCCTTAATCTGGTCAAGTTGATACCCAAAACCAACCATCACACCCTGGCACAAAGCAAGCTGGGACCTCAATACCCTGTGTCACTGGGGAGGACTTAAGAGTTTTAAGTCTAGATTTGATGGGGCAGTACTGAAAGAGAGAAGGGACTAATGACTAATCCAGTCAACCCTTCATGAGCAACTGAATTGTCAGAGGTACAATGTAGAGAGGGCATGAAATGTGCAGATGGAATTCAGCAACCCTGGTGCAGAGGAGTCCGTGGTAGGAATCCAGGAATCAAGTAACAAACAAATATAGCAAGTGGCACCACATTTCTAGGCATATAAAGAAATAATAACACCTAGAATTTGTAAACAATTTGCTAAGCTCAGGGCTAAGGGCGTCACAAATCTTGTGAAGCTAGCCAGTGAGAGAGGTACTATTTTTATCCCCCATTTCTAGATGGATAAATTGCAGTTCAGAAATTGTAACCCCATTGGTACTTGCCAGGTAGGGATATAAACCAAAGCTCAAGCGTTTCACCCTGTACAGTCTGATTCTTCAACCTTCACCCCACCCCTTCCACATTAGATACCTGCAATACAGTTAGGAATGGTTTTTACTGGTCTTAGTCAATCATGGTGATTCATTAACCAGTGGTGGTTCAGGAACTTAGACCAGTCAGCATCTAGCCTTTCCCTACTAAAATTATTGATTCAAGAAGAGCATATGACTTAAATTGGTCCAAGGAAATGAACAGGAAGAACTTGGGCTCCAAAGATCAGTGAGAAATGTTGATTTTCCCTCTGGAAGTGAACAGAGAAGCACATGACACCAATTGTTACTCAAAGCAACCATACTACTAAGTAGAGCATTTACCTTAGGATGAAGTCTTCTTTGTGGATTGCTGTGTGGAGAGACAGAGGGACCATTGTTTATTGATGACATAATTAAGCAGGAGGATCAACAAGATTTGTGGCTGTCCTACCTCTGGATTTTGTTTTGTATGAGCCAAGAAATATCCTATCTGTTTAAATTGCTTTGAATTGAGTCACCATTTCCTGCAACTGAAAACACTGTAACCAATATCTACTCCATGGGACCTCCTCAGAAAAACAAGGGAGGAGTAATACAAACCCATATAGATGATATCCTTCATGTGAGCCATTCCTTAATACGCCCTTTCATAGATGAGAAGGGCAAAGTCCAGCAAAGTTGAGTAATTTGTCTTAGGTGACACAGCTAGTAATTGTTAAGGCTGGACTTTGTTCCTCTGAGTATCTGACACCAAAGTCTGTATGCTTTCCAATATGCACAATGAAAATCTTGGCCAGTAATGAAAGGTATGCAGATCATATTCCAGTCCCATGCAGAAGTTAGTCAAAGGTTCACTGAAGATAAAGTCTAATAAGTAATCTGGTTTTCACAGCAGAATGCCAGTCACAGCAAGGGACTTGTGTGCTGGGCAGAGAGAGCCTCTTGTATGGCTGGGCCAACATGGCAGGAGAAGGGAAAGGCTGTGATTCAGAGGCTAATCCCCAGCACATTGGACACTTGGTGGAAGGCCAAGCGTGACCTTCAGACTCTACCAGCTGCTGTGTGTGAGGCTACTGATCACCCTTCCTGCCCTGGTCAGGCCTGGCTCAGCCACCAGTGGGGAGCAGAGCAGCTCAAATGAAACATCTGGAAAAGACAGAAGATGGTAAAAAGAAAAAAGGAGAAAGAAAAAAAAAGGGAGGAGAGTGAATCCATAGATATTAGGAACATAGTGATTATGAATATAATAAAAAGTGACTCCAAACTCTTGGCTTATCAGGATGTACCAGTCCTCTCTTGCCAATACTGTACTATGTGCAAGTTTTGATTACCTGTTTCGAGGTGAGTTTTTACATATATTATTTTCCTAAAACTGGTTGCCATTCTGTCCTAATTTCTTGCTCAAAATTTATATTTGCATCTGAAAACTCAAAGTACCATGGCACCTGGCTACCTTTCCCAATCTGTTCCTGTTCCAGAGCTGCACATATGGCTGCTGACGTTGAAGACAGCACTTTATTTTAGGGGGTGCCAGTCACATGGCTTCCCCTCGAATGGTGCAGTGTACAATCTGCACAACCATACCCAGTAGTCTTGCCTGGTTCTCTTAGTTCCTTATGCAAAATTGGTCTAAAACTTTTTAAATGTCATGTTTTTGCCAGATGTGGTGGCTCATGCCTGTAATCTCAGTGCTTTGGGAGACAAAGATGGGAGGATCACTTGAGGCCAGAGTTCAAGACCAGCCTGGGTAACATAGCCAGGTCCACCCTCTGCCTTCCCACCCCCACCCCCACGCCCATCTTTACACAATCTTTTAAAAAATTAGCTGGACATGGTGGCACATACTTGTAATCCCAGTTACTCAGAAGACTGAGGTGAGAAGATCACTTGGGCACAGGAGTTCAAGGTTAGAGTGAGCTATAATCAGGCCACTGCACTCCAGCCCGGGCAACAAAGTGAGACTCTATCTCTAAAATAAATAAATTTTAATTTTAAAAAATTGTGTTTGTGCCTATTTTTACTGTTACATATGAGATAGGTTGGCTGATAGTTGCCACAGTTCCTCAAGCAGCCAAGTGGAAAGGAAAATGTTCTGGCTTTAGTTTCAAACAAATGTAGGCTGGAATGCTGGGTCTGCCACCTACTAGCTAGTTGGCCATGGCTAGGTTAACCAACTGAGCTACTGTTTCACTATCTATAAAATGGGAATAATATCAGCCTCATAGTATTAACAGAAGGATATGTACTAAATGAGAAAATTATGTCAATATATATTTTTGAAGTTCCTGGCATAGTGTCTGCAACGGAAGAGATTCTCAATAAATATTAATTCCCTTATTGAATTTCAATGTCAATTTCAGTCCCTTTTCCTGGCAGGGGATAAACTTAGTCCAGCAGATGTCTGTATCCTAAGTGAGGAGTACAAACATTTTGCATTTTGCATTTTGCAAATTGCGTCCGTTGAGAAGTTCTTTGTTGGGGGAAGAGGGAGAGAAATTCTTTGGTCAAACATCTAAAAAGTACTGCATTCTATACCTGCTCTTAAAGATTCTCATTGCTCATTTGCATATTGAAAGACTTGAAAAATCTCACTACAAATAATTTAAATGTTTTACAACATATTTCTCTAATTTGATCACAAATTGTTTTTTACATTAGACAAATTAATATCTCATTAATGTGTTCCACAGAACATACATTGGGAAGTGTTGGGTTAGGGCTAGAAGCTAGGGAAGTTGGATATCATCAGGGTAAAGATTGGTGTGACCAAAAGATGACACTAACCAGATGGGTAACAGATGGGCACAAAGTTCTTTGGCAAAGCAGAATCATATAAGGGACTAAGGTTATGACTTAGTAAATGTATATTATTCCCTCTGAGCAAAACAGGAGGAGTGTGAGGAAGGAGATGGATGAAAGAGGACAAAAAGGAAGAACAAAAGCATCCATCACTATATCAAGCATTTATTGAGCAACTACTATGTGAGGGATGTAGAGATGAATAGCATTGTCCCTGCATTAAGGAAATAAGGAAAACAGAGTAAAGAGAAACAGACAGAGAAGGGCCATAGGTAACGAAAGATAATAGATTTAAAAGAAGGAAAGAAGATATACTCAAAGAAAACTTTGTCAAGATGTACAGGTGGAAAAGATTCCAGTCTGTTCTGCCTCACAAAAGCTGGCTGGGCACCCAATCTTTAAGAACATGGCAATGAATTGATTATATCTTTTTTTAAAGTGAATTCTGCAAAAGATTACAATTTTGTTTAAGAAAAATTAACCATAACTAAGTAATTATATTAGAAATTTTCAGTTATTAAAGTGGGCAGCAAATTCTCCGAAAGCAATAATGAAATAGAAAAATATCAATTAATGTTCATGATACATTTCTGAAGCAAATATGTATAGGCCCTAAAACAGCTTACACATGATTCTAAAACTAGAGAAGATCTAAAACTCTTCAAGTATGCCATTGGAATATGCATTGCATTCTGTCATCTCATTTGCAAAAAAAAATGTGAACAAATTATCTTCTGTGAAGGAAGATGAAGGAAGGAAAAATAAATGGAAAATTAGAAGCTGCACTCAGAGGCAAGCTCAGCACCTGGGAGGCAAGCTTTGGAAACTCTGAAACATGAGTGTTCTTGGAATACTGGAGATTGTAATTGCCTTCTGCCTGCCTGTCCTTCTCCCTCCTCTCCACCAACATGTACCTTTGGTTTATCTCCAGCTCACTGACCTTCTTTATTCTTAGAAAAGGAACGTCTCAGGTATAGGGTTTGATACAGTTTGGGTATTTGTCACCGCCCCCAAATCTCATGTTAAAATGTAATTCCCACTTGAACCTGGGAGGCAGAGGTTGCAGTGAACCGAGATCAAGCCACTGCACTCCAGCCTGGGCGACAGAGCAAGACTCTGTCTCAAAAAAAAAAAAAAAAAAATGTAATCCTAATGTTGGAGGTGGAGCCTGGTAGAAGGTGTTTGGATTACTGGGGTGGATCCCTCACAGTATGGTGCTGTCTTCATGATAGTGAGTGAGTTCTCATGAGATCTGGTCATTTAAAGGGTGTGGCACTTACCCTCCTACACTCCTCTCTCTCTCTCTCCCTCTCTCCTGCTTTTGCCATATGAAGTGCCTGCTCCTGCTTCACCTTCCGCCATGATTGTAGGCTTCCTGAGGCTCCTCTAGAAGCCAAGCAGATGTTGGCACCATGCTTTCTATCCAGACTGCACAACTGTGAGCCAATTAAACCTCTTCTCTTTATAAGTTACTCAATCTCAGGTATTTCTTTATAGCAATGCAAGAATGGCCTGATACAGGGTTTTACCTCCTAAATATTATTTTCCCTTATGCTGATTTTTGTATTGGGTTAGCCCCTCCTTTCTGCTTTCATACATTCATTTTTCAGCAAATATTTATTTAAATGAGTTCATACCACACACTGTGCTTTGAGTGTGGGGGCACTCAGGGCATCTGCTAATCCCTCCAGCTTTATTGAAATAAGATTTATTTTCTTTTCTCAGTCATCATAGATTTTATAGGTTTTTATTTTGCATCTTGAAAAATATATATGATGTTTTTACTACCTCAGGAAAAGAAAAAGACACACTGATAAATTGTGTGTCACAATGACTGTGGCCGGTTCCACTGACTACCATGCTTCAGATTCTGCCACTTTTTTGACAGGTGTAATGTGTTCCCTGTCTGCGTTGTTGGGATTTTATTGGTGGGACTATTATAACTTGGTGTGGGGGAGGGTGCCATTTCTCCTCTTTCTTCTGTTTCATTCCAGCATGAGAGTTCGTGCACAGAGGCAATAGTTGAATCCATAGATTCAATGACTTGCCCAGAAGGAGCACACAGCAGGGAATGGCAAACTTTCTGCAAAGGACCAGAGAGTAAATATTTTTGGTTTTGTGAGACATAGAATTTCTGTCACATCTAGTCAGTCCTGCCATTGTAAGGCAAGAGCAGCCACAGCCAATACACAAACAAATGAGTGTGACTGTGTCCCAGTAAAACTTCTTTAATGGACACAAATTTGAATTTCATATAATTTTCCCATGTCACAAAACATTATCATTTATTCTTTGATTCTTTTCTGTAAAAACCATTATTAGCTCATAGGCTATAGAAAAGCAGGTGAGGGGGTCTGATTTGGCCCACAGGCAGTAATTTACCCATACCTGTTCTAGTGGAAAGAGAATAATCTCAGTGTGTGATCAGTGTGTGAATATCATCTGTGTCACCTACCAGTCAGGTCCATGGGAACTAATCTAATATATTTGGGCCTTTATTTTCTTATCTGAAAATGGAAATAATAAGTTTGACCTTACCTGATAGTTATAAAGAGGTTAAATGAGACTAGCAATACAAGTAAGGTATTTTCTAGGAATAAAAGAGGCTGATGTGCTGGCTGGAGGTGAGCTGAAGGAACACACTGGTGGGAGGAAGGACAAAGACATCAGGAAACACCGTTCCTTGCCTGCAATGTAACAGTTGCTTACCTAATGACAGCTGTTATTCTTCTTCTTCTTACTATTATTCAAAGAATAATAGAGAAAGAGAAGTAACAAGTAACAACAGATTCAGAGGAAGGAAAAGAAAGAAGAGCTAGAAAAATAAAGTAAGAAATAGTGACAGAGAGAGGAGGAAACAGCCATGAGAGCCTATTGTTCCAAAATCTTCCCCTTGCTCTGATCTCCCTCCCAAACCTCAGAAATGGGTTTTCCAATGCCCTCGATATATTCACCACTGTATCCTGCTGGCATCTCAAATTGAGCATGACCCAAGTGAATTTATCTCCCTCTAATCTTAACTTTCCTTTTCTCCAACAGTTTCCATTTCTATTAATAATAACCTCCAAGCTTCAAACAGCTAGGTCGTATTTGATTCCTCTTTCATTTTTACTCCTAGTCTTTTTGAGTTTACTTTGAAATGTTTCTAAGGTCCATATTCTCCTAGTCTTGACACTCACAATGTCTCCTTAGACTCTCTTGGTAATCTGCTGTCCATGGCAACCCTGCCATCCAGCTCTCAACATCCTAATTTCACCTCCAATACATCTTACCTACAGTTTACCCATAGGGGATTGTCCCAGTCAGAACTAAGGCACTGTGCTGTGTCCCCATCACTGCAGAATATGCCCTCCTTAATCAGAGGATCTGATCCTCCAGGATCTGCCCCAATAGCCAATCTGATGTGATTTCCAACAAAACTCCTAACTACTCCATCTGTACCTCAATTCCTTGGTATCTGCTGTTTCCTCCATCTGGAATGCCCTCTTAATTGTATTTCTAAATCCTGGGAATTCCTCAAGGCCTAATGTAAACACTTCCTTGCCCAGCAAGCCTTCAGCTGAAAGTGATTATTGCCTCCTGTGAATGTCTACAGCGTTTGTTTATCTGTATTTCTTTCCTGTCAGTCATCATTTGCTATCTTTGTGTTAAGTGTGCATATGTTTTATCATTTGTAAAAGACCAGTGGTTGTCAAATGGAGACAATTTTGTCCCCCAGGGAATATTTAGTAAGGTCTGAAGATGGTTTTGGTTGCTACAACTCAAGACGGGGGGTACTACTGGCAGCCGGTAGGTAGAGGCGAGGGTAGCTGCTAAAGATCCTACAATGCACAGAAACCCCCCACAACAAAGAAATGACAACAGTGTGAGGTTGAGAAACCCTGGACCAGACTCTAGGTCAGCAGGCCCCAACGTTTTGGCACCAGGGACCAGTTTCATCAAAGACAATTTTTCCACAGACCAGGAAGCGGGGGATGGTTTCAGGATGATTCAAGTGCATTACATTTGTTGTGCACTTTATTTCTATTATTATTATAGTGTAATATATAATGAAATAATTATACAACTCACCGCAATGTAGAGTCAGTGAGACCCCTGAGCTTGTTTTTCTGCAACTAGACGGTCCCATCTGGTGGGTGATGGGAGACAGTGGCAGATCATCAGGTGCTAGATTATCATAAGGAGTGTGCAATCTAGAACCCCCGCACGCACAGTTTACAATAGGGTTCGTGCTTCTATGAAAATCTAGTGCCACCGCTGATCTGATGGGAGGCAGAGCTCAGGCAGTAATGCGAACCATGGGGAGCAGCTGTAAATACAGATGAAGCTTTGCTTGCTTGCCCACTGCTCACCGCCTGCTGTGAGCCCCAGTCCCTAACAGGCCACAGACCTGCACCCATCCACAGCCCAGGGATTGGGGACCTCTGCTCTAAGCTATTGAAGAAAGGCGTCCATAACCGATTCCCTTGTGTTTCCTACAGTTCCTAACTCAGTCCTACATATGGTCATTGACGAATACATATTTGTTGAATTAATGAAACAATAAGAATTTTTAAAGAAAACATACAGTCCTGAGGGATAACACATCCTATCCGTTTCCAGTGGTATATGGGTGTATGTGTACAGTATATCTTCTTCATTGCAGATGAGGAGCCAGGGCTTTCCAATATCTGCACATTTTCATCATCTCGCTTGGTGCAGAAAGTACAATTGACTGCCACAGAGGGTCTCCTGAGCATTGTTAGTGGATGATTCAGGTTTTGAACACGTCTTTCAAAATGATGATTCTTGTATAAAACATGTAAAATGATGCTTCATTTTCTTCTAGCATTTTAGCATTCTAGGCAAATAGCTTGATTCTGAGTGAGTTGCATGATTTTAAGCAAAACAAGGTCCTGACACCATGCAAAGCTGGCCTCTCTCCTTCAGCAAGGCATGCAGTTCAGACATCCCAGAAAGACTCACCTTTTGAAGACTTTCAAAGATTATGTTTCTGAGGTTACCATTAACTCGCATATTGTTTAAATAACCATCTATGTTTTTTTAAAAAAAAATCCTTGCTTGGTTTTTTCCTAACTTAACACTCACTGGTGTTTAAACCTGCTTTTTAAAAATCTGCTCTGAGAAATAGAGACTCATTCATGGTAATATAATACAAATAATAGTAACAAATAACAACAAATTCCTTTGGATTTATAAAGCACTTTCTACCATATGTTTGCTTTCCCATGTACTGAATGAACAATGCATCACCCCTGCGGTGCCAGAGCTGCTCCAGACTCATCCATTTTCCTCCCCTCTATTGTTTCTTGGCACTTTCTCCACAGTGGGAACCAGAAAAATAAGAGGAGATCTTTACCAGTCATTTTTGCTAAATCCTGGTTTTAAGTAATGGTTAATTTCAGATTTGTTGATAACCTAGGGACTGCTTAACTTCTTACCCATTAACTTAAAAAAACTGCAAGCTGTTGGTAATCACACTTAAACCCAATTATATCTTGAAAAAATCTGAATTTGTTAAATAATTTTTCAGCTCCCAGATCTCATTTATTTCCTATCAAATCATTTCCCAAGTATTTTTTACATTTCACAGGAAGTAACATGTTTACATTGGTATTTCTAATATAGGATATGATATTAAAAAGTAAAATATAGGCTGGGCGCGGTGGCTCATGCCTGTAATCCCAGCACTTTGGGAGGCCAAGACAGGCGGATCACGAGGTCAGGAGTTCAAGACCAGCCTGGCCAACATAGTGAAACCCAGTCTCTACTAAAAATACAAAAAATTAGCCGGGCGTGGTGGTGGGTGCCTGTAATCCCAGCTACTCAGGAGGCTGAGGCAAGAGATTCACTTGAACCTGGGAGGCCGAGGTTGCAGTGAGCCGAGATCGTGCCACTGCATTCCAGCCCAGGCAACAGCGCGAGATTTCATCTCAAAAAAAAAAAAAAAAAAAAAAAGTAAAATAATTCCATGATTCACATATTTTAAAAGTTTTTAATGCAAGAAGGATTAAGTCTCTATAAGAATTTCTAACCCATGTCTTCATAAAACTATGAATTGTGTATACCATTATTGCAGTTTGCCTATGAAAATATAAGTAAAATTAATATAAATTAAAGATAATTTTCAGTATCTTGGTGACCTTGATTCCTAAATACGAAAGCCTACTCCCTTTTAAATGAAATTTCTATTCCCAAGTGTCACTTGTGATGGCTCTGCCTGTGACTGAGAGTCATTAAATTTGAGGCTATTGCTAAGAACATTGTGAAGTTGTAGCTCATAAGAGAAATCGATAACTTAGGGAGAGGCTGGGTTTTTTTTAACATACAAATCTGGAAAGCAAACTTTTCTGAACTTGATCTTGATTTATTTCTCTTAAAGATATATTATTGTCAACACTAAACAAGGATTTTCACTTTTTTTTTTTTTTTTTTGAGATGGAGTCTCACTCTGTTGCCCAGGCTGGAGTGCAGTGGCTCGATCTTGGCTCACTGCAACCTCCGTCTCCCGGGTTCAAGCGATTCTCCTGCTTCAGCCTCCCGAGTAACTGGGACTTACAGGTGTGCACCACCACACCAGGCTAATTTTTGTATTTTTTTAGTAGAGCAATATGGGGTTTCACCATATTGGTCAGGATGGTCTTGAACTCCTGACCTTGTGATTCCCCCACTTTGGCCTCCCAAAGTGCTGGGATTACAGGTGTGAGCTGCTGCACTCGGCCTGGCTTTTCACTTTTTATTTCAGAGTTGCTAGCTAAGGTTGTGTATGTTATATGCATAGGGTACCATTTCACAAATATTACCACACACCTTCCAGCACCTTACATGCAGTATTATTTAATCCTCTAAACAACACTATGATATAGATACTGCTATTATTCCCATTTTATAGATGCAGAAACTAAGGCTCAGGGTTAAGAGGCTTGTCCAAGTTCGCATAGCTATGTAGTGCCAGGGCCAGACATGTATTCGAGCCCAGGTATGTCTAATTCCAGACCCCATATTCTTCAAGCCTTTCTGGTCCCCTCAATCTTGGCACCAGGATAATGTAATTAGACTCTCCCAGGTCCCTTAAAAATACCTGAAGACGGCCAGGTGCCGTGGTTCATGCCTGTAATCCCAGCACATAGGGAGGCCGAGGTGGGCAGATCACTTGACATCAGCAGTTCGAGACCAGCCTGGACAACATGGCGAAATCTCGTCTCTACTAAAAATACAAAAAATAGCCAGGCATATTGCTGCATGCCTGTGATTCTAGCTACTCAGAGGCTGAAACAGGAGAGTCGCTTGAACCGGGAGGCAGAGGTTGCAGTGAGCCAAGATCACACCACTGCACTCCAGCCTGGGCAACAGAGCGAGACTCCATCTCAAAAACAAACAAACAAACAAACAAACCTGATGAATTTAACATAAGACTCTATAAGGACAAAAGAAGTAACAATTGAGGTAAACTGAATTATATTTTGGATGAATTGTATACATAATTTGACAGTTTATTAAAATGTATATTCATATGTACATGTGTATATATACATAATATATGTAATTATAATTGCATAAAGTTTGTATTTTTATATACGTATATAATATTCATTATTCATGTTACAAGCCCAGGATTTTGGTTCCAGTCTTAACAGTGTCATTTGATGTTTATCAAATTGCTTAAAATTTCTAACCATTCTCATTCTCTTCATAAGTAATGGAGATATTAGTAGGATATATTCCATTGGGTTGTTATTGTGACAATAAAATGAGATAACTGTTTGAAATGTAGTAAAATTAAAAATAATTTTACCTGCCTCACGCCTGTAATCCCAGCACTTTGGGAGGCCGAGGCGGGTGGATCACAAGGTCAGGAGATAGAGACCATCTTGGCTAACACGGTGAAACCCTAACACAGTGAAACCCCAACACAGTGAAACCCCGTCTCTACTAAAAATACAAAAATTAGCCGAGCGTGGTGGCGGGCGCCTGTAGTCCCAGCTACTCGGGAGGCTGAGGCAGGAGAATGGCGTGAACCCGGGAGGTGAAGCTTGCAGTGAGCCGAGATTGTGCCACTGCACTCCAGCCTGGGCGACAGAGCGAGACTCCGTCTCAAAATAATAATAATAATAATAATAATAATAATAATTTTACCAGCTGGCACCAGAGTCATACTACCAGACAGAACTATCTGGTGTAGGAAAATGATATATATCAAGGGGCTTGGGATGGGGCTGGGGCCAAGGGCTGGAATAATGCAAGAAAAATAATGAAAATGATCAACTTCTCTGCACCATACATAAGCAGGACTTGGAAGGAAACATTGAAGGGAGGAAAGGAAAGAGGGTAAAAGGAGTAGGGAAGAAAGCTGCACAGCTTGGGAGGCTTAGGAGAAAGGCACCAGAGAAGACTTTCTCAAAGGTGAGGAGGCCAAATAATTTTACAAAGAAAATCAATGTCTACTGTCTAATGTTAGATTTTCTGTTTTTCTGTGATGTAAACTCCCTCTGTTACTCCAAAGCTTCAGAAAAGTCTGGTGCACACACACACACATTCATGCAGAGTAGCTTGAGAGGGAAGTCAAGGAAAGGAGCCACGTGCCCCCATCTGGGTGGGTGCAGAGGACACAGAAGGCACCAGCCACGGAGACAGGGTGTGGGTGAGACAGAGATTCAGGCCAAAGGGTCCCATGGAATGTGAATCCCTAGAAAGTCATAGAAATCTAAGGAGGACCCTGGGTATTTCCTCAAGATGTGGGAGAGGGGCTTCCACCAATTTCTATTAAACCTCAGAGTAACTAGAATCCGGATTACACATTCATTCAATCAACATTTATTAAGTGCCCACTGTGTACCAGGATATTTTACAGGCACTGGGATTTCTGTGTTGAAGAAGGCAAACTTCCTGCTCTTTTACCTGACTTTCTAGGTGGGGAACAGAACAGGAGCAGATGAGGAACAGACAGTAAACAAATAAAAAAAAAAACTAACAGGATTGTTTCAGGTAGTGGGTGTATTATGAAAAAAATAACTAAAATAGGGACTGTTGGGAGTCCTTCAGTAGAGGGGTAGGGTGCCCAGGAGTAGAAGTGGGGTGCTTATTTAGATCAGGAGACCAGGTGCTGTTGACCTGGGACCTGAAGGACAGGAAGGAGCTGGCCATGGGTGAACCCTGGGGCTTTTGCTCTAAGCAGAGGGCCTGAAGGCATGTATAGAAGAGAGCAGTGTGACTGACCCTAACGGGCTAGGGAGAAGGAGACTGTAGTAGTGCCCTAGGGTTTTGCCATAAGAAAATACCACAAACTGGGTGGCTTAAAATAATATTTATTCTCACAATGCCAGAGGCTAGAAGTCTGACACCAAGGTGTCAGAACCAAGGTGGTTCCTT
Source organism: Homo sapiens (assembly GCF_000001405.40). Classification (NCBI taxonomy): domain Eukaryota; kingdom Metazoa; phylum Chordata; class Mammalia; order Primates; family Hominidae; genus Homo; species Homo sapiens. The sequence continues at coordinate 67,736,813 of NC_000012.12, read as the reverse complement.
CTGAGGGCGGTGAGGGAGAATGTGTTCCCAGTCTCTCCCCTAGATTCTGGTGGCTTGCCTGTCATCTTTGGTGTTCCTTGGATTGTAGATTGATCACTCCAATCCTCTACCTCACGTGGCCTTCTCCCTGTGGCTTATCACATAGGCCTCCCTCTGCGCATATCTGTCAATGTTCACATTTCCCCTTGTTATAAGGACACCAGTCATATGGGATTGGGTCTACCCTAATTTTAACCTTGTTTGAATTAATTATCTCTTTAAAGACCCTATTTCCAAATAAGACCAACATTCAGAGGTAGAGAAGATTGGGACTTCAACAGATCTTTTTGGAGAGACCCAATTCAACTCATACCAGTAAGATATGGAAAGGAGTTGGATTTTATTCTAAGCACCCATGTGAAATGCCTGGCACAGTGCCTGGCACATGGAAAACAATAAATTTTAGTATCATTATTATGCAGAGAATTTATTTAAAAATACAAAATTTAACAGGAGAGTCTTTAAAAACATGAAATTGGATTATGTCACTGCTCTGGCTAAAATCTCTCCAATGGCCCCCTTTTGTACTCCAAAAAAATTCCAAGTCCTCACAGGGCCTTCAAACCCGCTACGGTCTGAGCCCTTGGTGATCTCAGACATTGTCTCCCACCAGCCCCCACCTGCTCCGTCCACTCCATTCACCCTGGTCTCCTTGCTTGTCCTCAATCACCCCAAGCTGCCCCTCCCACCTCAGAGCCTCTTCCTGTTTGTTGCTTCTGCCTGGAATGCTTATCTCCCAATATTGGCAAGGCTGGCTCTGTAATGTCATCCAGGCTTCACCTCAAATACCTCCCAACCTCGCCCAGAGAGGCTGTCTCCAAGAGCCCTCTTTAAAATAATGCCCACATCACTTTCTATCTCCTTCTCTACTGAACTTTTCCTCATACCTTTTACAACTACTTATAATTATTCTTTCTTTCTGTCTCTCTCTCCACACACACACACACACACACACACACACACACACAACTACACTATATCTAAAAATATATAATTAATTAATTGTGTCTGTCCTTGCCACCATAATGTCAGCTCCATGAGAACAGGGAAAGGTATGTTCGACGACAGAACCTTAGCCCTTAAGAACAGTGGAACAGTGCCTGGCACCTAGGAGATGCTCAATATATGTTTGTTGAATAAATGAATCAAGGGTGTGGATACAATCAGGAGTAATGAAGTGGTTGGTGAACCTATTCTCATTCAAGTGCAGTTTTCCCTGTGTCTGTGCCTGCAACCCATAAACTTCCCATTATATTTTTGTTTCACCAATGATGAGTCTTGGTCCCCTATACATTTGTCTTTATTCATTGTAGAGCACTCAGAGATGCATATTTAAAAGACAGATTTTTATCTCAGGAACATGGAGTTCAACAGTGTGTTTCTATTTTATTTTGTAGTTTTCATCTTGCTGTTGCATAAATCTGAGTTATGCAGGGACGGGGGATGAGATGCCTTTAAAATACACCTGAATATCTGCAGATGCTCTTTTCTGTACTGCAGTGGTAAAGGGATTCCTGAGCTCCAAAAGAGTAATTATGTCAGATGATTACTGGGAATCTAAAACATTTTCCTCTATAGCATAGAAGTAAATTAAACAGCAATCAAATAGGAAACAAATATTTATCGCAATTCGAAAAGTGACTTCAGATGCACTCTGAACCACTCAAGAAAATTAATGAAATAGCTTTAAAATCCTATGTTCTTGTATTGCTATGTCTACAGTTCCAAAGATTATAACACAAGTTGATCTTTTATTTTATAAAACTGATTTAAGAACAAATACATTTTGACTATTTCCAACATTCAAATCAGTCTTTGATGGAAGAAAATCTGCCATTAACAATATTCAAAAGAACATGCTATAAGTTCTTAATTACAAAGACACAGCCCAAAAATATTTTGGAAAATGCAACATTGCTGAAATAAATTAATAGCTTTCCAATGTGACTGCTCAATTAAATGCAAAAATTTTGCTGAGATTTCTAAAATACACACACATCTCATGATAAACTTACACATATTTAGTTTGTGGTACATTAACTTTTCCAGTATACATCTTAGCCTATTTAAAATGGTTCTTTACAACTTTTACAAATTACAGTAGTTATGACAGAACTACATATTCTCCAGGAAAAAGAAAAAGAAAAGATTATTTAATTTGAAAATGCATGGTACTGGTCAAACATTTTAAACTATGCAAATAGTTATAAAATGTATTTCATTATTATATAACTCCATTAATTCCCTTGAAGTTCTTACTTTTAAAGAGGCCTTCCTTAAGGGTATTTATTCAAAAGACATCCCTGATTAAATGCCATTATAAGTAATGAAACTATTAAGAGGAAGGAGGGAGGGAGGGAGAAAAACAAAAACTTCTGCGTGACTTAAAGATTTCTAAATCCCAGCCAACATACTAGTAATTTCAAATAGTATTCACTACAAACGTTTTAGCAAACCAAAATCATGAAGCCTTTAGAATTTCATTCCCAAACTTGACTGGCAGTGAATTCAGATGTGTATCATGTGTATCTCTTTTGAGCTATTATTATATTTATCATTTGAATTTAGTAGCCAGTTCACCCAGGCTGGCCCATTCCTTCAAGTCAACACTCTAGTATTTTTCCGCATGGCCTGGATAAGCAACTTCAAATTATTTACCAGCCAATTCAGCTTAAAGAGGCAAATCAGTAATATACATAAGCTCATTCATTATAATCTCAGAAAAAGTCACACTGGTATATTATAAGTAATTGCAGCCTGGGAGACTAATAAAGAAAGGCAGCCTTAGGAAGTTCTCTGCATCATAGAATGCTCCCCTTTATTACTTTGCTAAGGCTTGTTTGGGCTTCATTCTATGTGACAAAAATTTTTCATAATGGGCTGGTAAATGCCCCATGGCGTATTTCAAGGAAAAGAAGATAATGATTAATGGTAGGATAGCTTCATGCTAAGGTCAAAACCCCTTTTGTGGAGGCAAATAACACACAAGTTTCTACTTACTAGAGAAGAAATGGGAGGGAGGAGGGGTTCCATCATAGATACAATAAAACAGAGAATGTGTCTTACTCCAAATCATTTCAGAGACGTAGATTGCTCTAGAAACCTAGAGCTAGTTATAGAACACTGGCCTTGAAATGAAACTGCCACTGGGGAAAAATGGAAACAGAAAGGCTTAAATACATTCCCTCAAAGCTCCCCAGGGCTTTTCTTTATGCCCAAGGCATTTCTGGTGGAAACAGCCTAAAGAGACAAGAGCGATGTTTTAAAAATTATCCTCGTTTCTTTGGAACATTGAGAAAAATACTTACATACTTTAGTTCTTCCACGCCTGCCTGCTTTTTGAGTAAAATTTATATTTAAAATATTTTATTTATCTCTCAGTTGGCAAAATCATTTAATTTTGCCACTCTTCTAGAATTTATGTATTTATTCAATATTTCAGCAACTTTAAAACTTCATAGCTAAATATATTACTTAATCATTTATACAAGATGTAATTACTGAGCTCCTACTAGGTTCTAAGGATACAGCAATGAAAAGACTGCCAAGTTCCTTACTCTTCTGAAGGTTACTTTGTAGTTAGGGGAGAGGAAGAACTAAAAAATAAATAAATAAATAAATAAATAATAAAATAGCAGGTGGTGCTAATGCTGTAAAGAATCAAAGTAGGGCAGTATGATAGAGAGGGACAGGTGGCTACCCTAGACCGACCGGTCAGGAAAGTCCTCTCTGATGAGGTTAACAGCTGACCTGAGAATTGAATGACAAGAAGGAGCCAGACATACAAAGATCAAGAAGAAAAAGCATTTCAGGCCGGGGAAACAGCCAATGCAAAGGCCCAAATGTAGAATCATTGTGGTCTCTTCTGGGGACAGGAAGAAGATCAGGGTGGGCAAGTGGGACGGAATGAGTTCAGAGGAATAGGCATGGACTAAATCCCAGTCCAGAAATTACGATCTATGGCTGGACGCTTGATTGAATTGGGAAACATCAGAGCAACACATTTTAATCTGATTCTAGCCTCTTGCAATTAATACTTCTTCTCCTAATCTGTCCCCTTCCAAAATAGCCTGCACTTCAGTGGCACATTAATTGATTCAACTTCCTTGTTCAAAAATTGTCTTATAGACACCATCTGCTCTATAGAAAAAGTTCAAATTATTTAACTTGACATTTACAGACCTCCAAAAACTTACACTAGCTAAACTATCCACCTTTATGTCCCCTGCTCCACTAATGAATACTCTCCTCTAGCCAAACCTTTTCTCCAACACTCCTTTTATTTTATCCTCTTGATTTTTTTCTCATGCCATTTTCTATTGTTCAGCAAGAGCTTTTCCTCCTGTCACCAAATTCATATCCACTTTTATTCATTAAAATATTTTTGTAACTAGCAAAAGAAAACCCAACACAAAGTGGATTAAACAAAAAGAAATTTCTTGGCTCAAGTAAACTAAAAGTCCAAAGTAAAGCACATTCAGGCACAGTTTGATTCAGAAGTTCATGATGTCATTTATTTTGAGATGATCTTGGCTCTGTGTGTTGATTTCATTCTCAGGCTGGTTTCCTTCAGAATAGCAGAAATGGCTGCAAGAGTTCTAGACCCTGTGCTCAGTTGAATCGTGTTCCCCCCAGATTCCTGTCCATCTGGGACCTGAGTATGTGACCTTATTTGGAAATAGGATCTTGGCAGTGTAATTGCATTAATATGAGGTCATATTGAATTAGGATGGGTCCTAGTCCGGTGACTGGTGTTCTTACAGGAAGAAAGGAATATGGATTTAGAGACACAGAGGGAGAAGGCCAGGTGAGGACAGTGGCGGATATTTGACTGAGGCAGCCACAAGCCAGGGAACACCAAGGATTGCCATCAACCACCAGAAGCTAGGAAGATGGAAGGAAGAGTTCTTCCCTAAAGCCTCAGAGGCACCTCAGAAGGCACATCACCTGTCAGCTCCTCGATTTTGGACTTCCAGCCCCGAGAACTATGAGAGAATAAATGTCTGTTGTTTGCAGACAGCCAGTTTGTGGTGATTTCTTACAGAAGTGTTAGGAAACTAACACAGGCCCCCGTTGCTCATGGGCCATCCAGGAGAATAGAGAACCATGTATCTGGCAGCTCCCATGCAAAAGAGCAAAAACTTCTTTTCAAAAGCCTCAGCAAATTTTCCTTGTTTCTCTTGTGCCCATGTCTGAATCAATCACTGCATCCAGAGAACTGCCATCTGGAGCTGAAAGAACATCTCTCCTGTTCAAACCACATGGCAAAATGGTGGAGGAGGGATCTCCAAAATAAAACCAGGGTTCTGTTGCCAAGAAAAAAGGGAAAGAAATGCCAAGAGGGCAACCGGCTTATGTCCACTCTACTATTGAAGACAGGATGATTTTGGCTGAAAGTTACAGAAAGCCTTTCTCTCACTGGCTAGAGCATTGAGAGAATATATTGTTTCACACAATAGGTGATCTGGAGGCAGATCAAACTTCAGGCACCACAGGAACGGGCTCCAGATCTGCATCTCCCCTGTTCTCCAGCCTCAGCCTTCCTGCAGGTATCAGCTTTGTCTTCATGCCATCTCTTAACATGGTCACCAGAAGAAACTGGGGCAACTGATGATGTCTTTTTCATGTCCAGTGGGAGAGAGTACCAATCTGATGCCCAATCATGAAATAAACATCTTTCCTCTTAGACTGCTTGGACCCAAACTTGGATGGAGTTTGCTTTTCCTGAGATAAGTGTGCTGCACTCCTGTGCCCATTCCTAGATCAATGCCAATTGCTAAGGAACTACAATTTACTGATTGGCATAAGCCTAGTTCTCTGAATGAATCATGAGGGAAGAGATGTTACTATCACTGGCTTGGCATTAGACTAATTAGGATTCTCCCTTGGAGCTTAAGAGGGAGTTTGCTTTCCCTGAAACAAGTGTGCTGTATGTGGGATGGTTTCTAAAGTATGAAAAGAAGAGTGAATAGATGCTGGTTAGGCAACTAATTCAGCCACCACACCATCCTTCCCAGTACATATTGGATCCTGCCTCCTCCATGAAGTCTCTCCAGATTACCCAGAAGCAAACTCTTAGTCTCTGAATTCTTTCAGCACTTACTGCTCATACTAATATTTCACATTTACCTTATATTCTTTTCTTCTTATTCTCCATCTGCTTTGAATTACCTTATATTCTTAATAATACTTTTATGTACATATTTCTCATCTCCTGACTTAAATTCTTAAACGTGGGGTGTTACCCTTCCCACTATGTTGCAATATATCTAGCACATTACCTTGCCCAGAATATTTTATGCTCAATAAAAACCTGTTGCTTAATTGACTTTTAACAAGCAAAAAGAACCAGGCAGCCTTTAAATTTAGCAGGAGACATGTAGATCCAGCTCACTAGTTCAGTTCTTTCTTCTTCCTAATAGAAATCTCCCCTTGCTCATTATCTCCCAGGAGTCGTTCATGAAGACATATTGGTAATTCATCTGTACTTAATAAAATGGTTAGATTTTGGACCTAATTAAATAGTGAGAAACAGTGAAAATACATGACTTGACTAATATTTTGAGTAAAAATCTGGACAAGATACAAAAACTAAAGCAGGAATACAAATTTCATTATGGAAGCTGAATACGGTAAAGGAAACAAGACCTCTCCAATTGGAAAAAGATGTTTTAGTCACTTTTTCTATTTTAATAATAAGAAGCACCATTGTGCCTATCCACTCAAACTATAGATTTTTCAGCATCTTCTAGGTCTAACCTAGCACTCAGACATGAATGTTATGAGTTCCATTGCTCAACACTATACTTTTAAATTTGTATTCTCTCTGAAAAATGATTTTATCAGATTTAGTAGGAGAACTTTTAGAATGATTTCTTAACTAAAATCTCAGTGATCTAGCACTTTGATTAATAATTTATTAACAGAATTGTGACCACCTTGAGGATATCTTGAGGACATCTGAAATTTTCTCTACAAATAAATTTCAGTAATTCTGATGGTAATAGTTACCATTAATGAAAAATGTAATGTCCTGATTTAGACATTTACTATGGTTTGAATGTTTTTCCCCTCCAAAATTCAAGCTGAAACACAATCCCCGGTGTAACCATATTAATAAATGGGGCCTTTAAGAAGTGATTGGGTCATGAGGGTTCTGCTCTCATGAACGGACTAATCCATTCATGGATTACTGGATTAATGGGTTAATGGATTAATGTGTTATCATAGGCTTGGTTTAGTTATCAGAGGGCGGGTCTGTTATAAAAGCCAGTTTGGCTCTCTGTGATGCTTTCTGCCAGTTATGACACAACACAATGCCCTCACCAGAAGCAACCAGAGGCAGACCCTCGACCTTGGACTTCCCAGCATCCAGAACTGTAAGACATGAATTTCTTTTTTAAAACAATTACCTAGTCTCATGTATTCTGTTACAGCAACAGACAATGGACAAAGACAATAGACAACCAAAAGCGATAAAAGAGGTCAATGTTTTCAAAAAGAATTCATCTTCCAAAGAATGAGAACAAACAAATTATTTACTAAAAAGTAGAAAGAGTTGAGGCTCAAACGTCTAGATGAAACCACCTTATTTCCCTCAATGGGAGCAGGAAAATTGGATGCACACTCTCATATTAACCTTTCTCTAGGTTAGTGGAGATAATCAAGCCTGACTTGAGTGCTGAATATGCATTACCACTTATTTACTACCTGCGTAAACTTTGTTCTTATTTTATAAAAGAATTTGAACCAAGGATGAGTTGGGCTTTAATAGTGATTCAAGTCTCCAGGAACATTTAATGTCCACTGGCCATCTTCAAGTCACTAGACTGAGTAAGGCAAGAATACTGCCAGTAGGTTCAAAACCCAAATTTTAGTTCTAAGCATTTCCAGGGCCATCCTTCCCTCTTGTTTTCAAATTAGGTAGATATTTAATTCTTCTGTAGACCAGCTTTAAGAACTAGGGGAGGTGGGAAAGGAGACAGGTGGAAGGAGAGTATTTCAAACACAACAGCATAAAAATGGTCTTGGCTTGACAGTGACTATTTCTAAGCCATCAAATTAGAAAAAAAGCGGCTCAATTTGAAACTAGAGGATGAAGCCCCTGGTGGATTATAAATAATAAGGCCCTTCTTACCTAGCAAGCTTTTAGAAACAATAGAATGTAGTGTGTTCAGGAGGCCGTAGGCCTGAGTCCAAATGCCAGCTCCGCTCCTTGCTGTGTGACCTTGAGAGGTTGCCTAACGTTCCCAAGCTTCAATTTTCATATCTGTAAAATGACAGTGATAATAGTACTTACTTTGCAGGATGGCAGTGAAGATTAAATTACATAATCCATGTGAAACAGCTAGGAAAGGGCCTGGAATATATTAAACATCCATAAATGCTAGCTACTATGACAATTACTAGGGGGAAGCCAGCCTGCTTTGGGCCCACTCTACAGCCTCTGGCCCAGAGCTGTCAGCCCACCCTGCAATTATTTACAGACAGAAAGGGCTGCTTCACTCATTTCTCACTTCCTTGCTTCATTTTGCTTCTAGAATGGTTTATGTCAACGGTTTCATCCAAAGAGATGAAAATAATAATGTCTATTTACATAACATTATCCTTGTTTTCCTTCTTCCCTCAGAAATGCTCTGGTATTATCAAATTAGTTGCATTTTGAAGATGACATCCACTAGAACTAATCAAACTCAACAATCTTTGTTCCTTGATATTACCCTGGATCCTCACCCATTAATGTAACAGCTGCAGTATTTTAAGGGAGACCGGGAACACTCCCACTGCAGACTGTCTGCACTTGGTGACTGCAATCATGATTATTTACTGAATACTAATATTCTGTATGTGTTCTGTGGTTTAGCTTTCTAATGCCAGTGCTTATTCAAGGCAGAGAATAATAAATCGTCAGGGAGGAGAGTTGTTCCTGCTTAATCCAAAATCTAGTTCTCTCTAGTTGTCTGCTAATCTTTATAACATTAAACTCTTGCAGACCAAATTTCTGAATAGATAAAGTGAAAGATAACCATTTAAATCTTAAACCTCTTGAGATATTGTGGTTTCTAATAAGATATATATCTTTGGTCTTCCTCCCGGCTTCCTGACACACAACTCCTAGAACCTCTGGGGTCTCCAGAGTGACAATAGTGTCACTGTATGCTAATGAGATGGCCAGTAGCTGCCAGCCCCTGGGTAGCTTCAGGATGGGCCTGCTCACTGAAAAGACCAAAACACAATGAGAGGGTTAGGACTTTCAGCCCACTCCCCAACCTTTGGGGAGGAGAAAGGTGCTGAAGGTTGAGTGGATCTGCAATGGCCAATGATGGTAATCAATCATGTCTACATATAAAGTCTCCATAAAAACCCCAAAGGACAGGGTTCAGAGAGCTTCCAAATAGCTGAACACATGGAGGTTCCCCAAAGGTGGTGCGCATGGGGAAGGCATGGAAGCTCCCACCTCTTCCCCCAAACCTTACCCCACGCATCTCTTCCATCTGGCTGTTCACCTGTGTCCTATATTATATTCTATATCAATAAACCAGTAAACATAAGTAAAGCATTTTTCTTAGTTCTGTGAGCTGCTCTAGCAAATTAATCAAACCAAAGGAGGTGCCATGGGTCAGAAGCACAGGTCACAACTTGCTCGTGACTGGCATCTGAAGAGGGGGGTAATCCTGTGGGACTGAGCCATCAACCTGTGGTATCTGATGCTATCTCTAGGTAGATAGTGTCATAATTGGATTGAATTAGAACATACCCAGCCAGTGCCCACAGGAGAATTCCTTGCAGACTTGTTTCGGTTGGTATGTTAGAAAAACACCCACACACCTGGTGTCAGAAGTGTTGACTGACTGCGAGAGTACAGAGTAGAGAGCAGGAAGCAACAGTTTGGTTTTTTCCCTATATCCTTGTATCTCTTGAGCATCAAACTGGGATTTGAGCATTGGGTAATCTTCTATTTCTAACAATGAAGTGCTGTTTGAATTTTGTCACTAGGTCTGAAACATATATCTGATGATGTCCTGTGCATTGAAACTTCCTTTGTGTTTGAGATGTTACTGACCCTGTTACTTCTTTTGCTTACAAATGTCTCCAAAAAAACAGGAGCAAAATAAAACGCCCTTACCTCATTCCCTTCCCTCTGGGCTGTAGCTCGATAATTCTAACAATGTCTGCATGACAAATGAAAACTTCATTATTTATGTACTTTTCGTACATGATAGAAAACAGATAAACATTTGGTATTATTTAGACTAAGGTTTCAGATGTTTGGCTGAAATTTCATCTTTATATTCTGCTTTTTATCTTAATATCTTGGTGGAATTCCATTCAGAGCCTATATTTATACACACCATTCAAGTGGTAGAAAAAATAATTTAACACAAGGCCACCAAATTGAAGTGCCTTTACAAATCTGTTATTCTGTTGAGAAAGGTTTTTACTTTTTCAAACCAACTGCTGCCACTACTGCTAATGATTATTACTCTGCTTTTTTTTTTTAATGCCGTCTAGCTTTCTTTCTTCCAAAATGTGATATATGCTTCATATAAAAATTCAAATAGTGCAGAAAAGCACAAAGAAGACAGTAGAAATCACTTGAACTCCCCTTCTCTGAAGACAGCCACCATTTATTTATATTTTGCTGAAGACAAAATCTTGTCCTGAAGATAAGATTTACATTTTGCCTTTGGGACTTCTTTCTATGAACATGTACATGTAAATGCGATTGGACATAATGTCCTCAACTTGGCCTTTCTAGTCAACAATACTTTTGGACATTTTTCTATGCGAATACATGTAGCTCTGCATCTGTGATTCTCATTAAGTCCTTCTTTCTCTTCTAGATAAGAGTATGATGCATAAATTGAATGACATGGAAACATGTATAAAAATAGAGAGACATCAGCATCATAATTCATAATATCATATATCCACTGAATTGATATGCCATACTTTTTTAACCTTATTCCTTCATGGTTGGTGTTTGTTTTCAATAATTTATAATTAAAAGTTTTTTGGGTCTTTACTTCCTTCAAGTTTTTAATTTTTTAACCTATTTGTAGATACTACTTTTATCTTTACCCTGACTCTTATCTATGGTCTGAAATATTTTACACTTGAGAAAGCAAATTCTGATAGCACTGGATCTGTTCAATTGTAAACCCTTTGTTTGATGCCTTTAATCTATTAGAAAGGGAGTGCCATTCCTTGATAACATGTAAAGCTACCTATGCGAAGTAAAATCTTTATTAGAATATGAAGATTTGTTCTTAACTGACTTTCCTATCTAGCAAACAATTCAAGCTAATGGAAAATTGTTGGTTTGCGTGCCAGTTTTCTTTTGGTAATTCTGATAAATTACACAAGCTTATGCAGTTTCCTTTTTATGCTGGTAAGCTCAAGATTTATCAGGGCATGTGGTCACTCATCATTATATTCCAGTCCTCAAAAGTTAACACTTGAAATAAGGTTGAAAAATTTACCTAAGTTATAGGAACAATCTAATTAGTTAGATCAAAATTCATTTTCAGAAAGGAAGGCAAAGGGATCTATTCGAAATTAGCATTTCAATTTATGTTTAGAAATATTCATTCTTTTGGACAAACTTCCATATATTTACTCTGCCTTCCAGAGAGAGAGGCAAATACATGTATCATTCACTCATTTATTCAACCCACTAGGCTGTGATGTGCACATCATTGTCCCAGCAGACGCTGTACAATTAATGGTCCCAATATACACTGATGTCTTGAGGCTGGGCTAGCCTCAATGTTTTCAGTCTTTACCTGGTTGGTTTCTTGACTTGCTCTTGAGCCAAGTCCATTCTCTTTTCACAGCCATGCCTCTTTCCAGATGAGTCCAGAAGCTGAGTAGTGGCTCAAAATATATCTGACTTGAAGTGAGGAGACCTGAGTGGGATCCCTAGGGAACCTTGACATACATCTCAGAGTTGCTATAATATATTCACATCAAAATGGGGGCCATTTCACCAATCTCACAGAGCTTTTGTGAGTGCTAAATAATGTATACGAAAGACTTGGACACACTGAGGGCCTGTAGGAAGTGTTGTGCTGAGCTACTGTTTCCAGTGTCAAAGCAGAATAATAAAATTCCTTTCTGCTTGCTATACTGGATGGTTCAAGCCACAAAAGAAAAACAATAGGTAAATCCATCCAGATCCATGTAACTCTCACCTAGCAGAGAATTTTAAGACTATTATTTTCTTGAAAGCCAGACTCCCCTTTTTCTTTTTTCAACACATTGAAAAATATGACGTAGAAAACCAGAAAGCAGACACCTTCATTTAGATGCTTCACGGCAGTGGCTAATGTTTAGTTCCTGATTCTTACATCTTCCCTGGTTCTGAATCACATTTCATAGGTCCATGTATGGTGATTGCATGTCCTTTATTTAAGAGGAGAATCTTAAAAATCAAGGATGGAGAATCTGCAATCTTAGACTTGATTTTATCTTGCCCGTGGCGTGATGGTGCTTTGGCTACCTCCACCAATAACCAGAAAATCATTTCTCCTTGTGGCGAGTTGCTGCTGTGACTGTCTCATTCAGAAGAAAGCTTCTCAAGAAACAGATATTAGAGCTGCAAACAACATTGAATCAGCTAATGATTGTGGCAAAATATGTCCCTCATTCCACAGCCCCAAGGAATGGGAGAAGCAATAAGAGGATATTTTTGACTAAGGTTCCTCTTATTACCTACCTATCTTCCCATATTTCCCATGTTTCTCCAAGTATTTCTGACATCTTAAAGTTTTCCATCTCCAGTTCAAGTCCCGTCCTAATCCTGTATCTCTCATAACAGAGTACATTGTAGATATAAATCATTTTAGTCATTAGACTCACACAATCTTAGAGGAAAAATCATTATAATCATTTACTCTGACCCTCTCCTTTTCAGATGAAGAAAGGATGTCAGAACTAAAATTTATTTTATTTTGTTTCATTTTTATTTTTTGAGATAGGATCTGGCTCTGTTGACCAGGTTGTAAGTGCAGTGGCACGATCATGGCTCACTGCAACCTCCGCCTCCCCGGCTCAAGCCATCCTCTCACCTCAGCCTCCCAAGTTGCTGGGACTACAGGCATCACCATGCCTGGCTAATTTTTGTATTTTTTGTAGAGATGGGGTTTCACCATGTTGCCCAGGCTGGTCTTGAACTCCTGAGCTCAAGCGATCCACCCGCCTCAGCCTCCCAAAGTTCTAGGATTACAGGTGTGAGCCACCACGCCTGGCCCAGAACCAAAATTAAAATCAGGTTCTGGGACCTCGAGTCCAAAGCGTTTCAAATTTGCTGTATTTATGAAGTAAATGTTGAAGTTACCCATAGTTAGTTTTAAATTAGGTGAGCTAAACATTTCCTGTTTGTCTAGGGAAGAAAAGAAAAGACAGAAAGGCTTCTCTGCCTACCCTGTGGCATCATGCCTCATCTAGGACAGTGTATCCAGCCTCCCACAATTCATGTCCACTCCAGCAGTTGGACCCTTTTATTGATGGGCTATATCTACACCTGATTAAAAAGTGGAGAAATTCAACCAAGTGACTGATAGTCCTGAGTACCCTTTTTTCTGTCTAACTTAACAAAATCTAAACCTACTGTCTTCACTTTCCAGGCAAGAAATGTCTGTTTATGATTCCTGCCCTTCAGTGACTGGTAATGAATAACCATATGTGGAAATCAAAGTCTATATTGCAGTGTTTTGACAAGCATCTTTGTCCAATATCTTCTTCTCATAGGATATTAGATTTTATTTGAATTCTCATGCCAATTTTTTGGCCTCTGTTAGAGTATTGTATATTTAAGAAAGGCATTATTTTAAAATTATGGTTTTTATTAAAAATTACTTAGGTTTTTTCTGTATTTGCTATTTTTTTGCAGTAAATTGTGATATTTTCCTATTCTTATTATAGGAAGACAAATTCACTTTGGGAAGGTAAATGTTACATTTTAATAAAAGTCAGCTTACAGTTTAGATGGGGATAGTGAACCTAAAAGGGGAACAAACAGTTGTAAACTTTGACATTTCTCATTCTTCTTAACTGCAGCATAAGATTTACCTTTATTTTTTAATATTGGAGAACTTGCCATGTAAATCCTAACATGTGGATGAACTAAATACCTGGGGAGTTCATCATCTCTCACAAACTAAATCCAGAGAAAAAACTTCCTGACACAAGAAAAAACTGCAGTTAAATGGAAAACAAATAAAGCAAATGAAAATTGGAATGTGGAGCATTTTGCATGCCAGATAAGAAAGGGCATGTGACAAAGGAGAGCCATTTCTTCCATTTGAGATTGGAGGGGGAAGAGTCCAAGGCTAGAATCATGTGGCTGACCAGGCTCCTGGGACTTCCACATCTGCACAATGGATCATGCAAAGGTGAGCTACATAACTAAATGAAGTTTTTACTTATAAATTCGCATAGTTCATACAGTGGACATTTATCATCTTTTTAGGTGCTCAGCATCTGCACTTGTTTAGGGATTTTTTCTATTGTGAGTCATGGTGGGAAGCAGGGCCTACCTTCCACTACAGAAGTGGAAGAGAGCAGATAGCAAGCTTCTACTCTCCAAGGAATAAAGTGCAGGTGTGTTGCCTGTGCTGCCAACCAGGTGCTCTCACTCAGGTCTTAGAGACTGGAACAATTACGGTAATAGGGATTCACTCCAGCTGCACAGACCACAACACCCAGTGACCATCAGTAGCCGTGGAAGCTGAGGGCCTGAATCTCTAGAAGCCCTCGCTACTCAAAGTGTGGTCTGGGGACTTGTTAGGAAGGCAGAATCTGGGACCCACCCTAGACCTACTGAGTCAATATATTATAGTGCCTTGCACATAGTAGGGCCCTAATGAATATATCTTGATGTATAGACATATGAAAATATATTGAAATTTGATCTTGTGGAAGCTATCTGAATTATATTTCTTCAAAATATAATTATGTAAACAGCCCTTAACCCAATGACTGTACTCTTGAAAACATATTACATGATATTGTGTATAATAAATTGCATTTTACTTGCATTTCATTGATATTTAAAAGACTCTTCCAGTGAATCCTTCTGTAAATTCATTATGCCTTTTTAAAGTGAATAATCACTCCTTCATTTATCTGTTGTTAACATATGTTCCCTAAAGCAGGGCACACCCACAGTAAAGATTACTGTAATCATATGAGTTGTCACTGAGATGACCAGTGGAATTCTCTGCATGGCCCTTGTTATTTTGGTCCTTGTCTGTCTTTCTTTCGGTTCCTGAAGTGCCAGCTCCACATGATCTTGGTGTGTACTAACACATAGCTAAGCAACCAAAATGGATAAGGAAAACAGTTCCCTTTACAAGGTCAGCCAAGTGCTGTAATTCCAAAGCACTGCACTGTATTCGGCTACCTACAATTCCTGGACATTGAGGGCAACCTGCCCTTCCCGTTGGCATTGTGCCAGTCTTAAGAGCCTTCAATGGCCATCGCAAGCCCATGTTGGTAGAGTGCCACTAATACAGTGCCTGAGAGAACATAAAGCTCTCCCACTCTCACCTGGAAGAGGATGGCTCCTGAAAAGCAAACTTATTGTTTAAAAGCATTGTTGAAACAAGCTGGAGAAGCAATAGAGTAAGAATTGTGAGGAGGGACAGGAGCTGTTACAACTTTGCAATCAGACAATCAGCCAGTTACCTTCTTAACTGTGTTCTCAGGGAAGTTCCTTAACCCCCTAAGACTTCAGTGTCCTCCTAGATAAACTGCAACTAGTAAGGATGCTTATCTAATAGGTACCATGGGCAGTAAGTGTGAGAATGGATATAAAATACAGTATCAGACGCATCATTATTGCTCTAAAATTATTAGCTATTATGATGGTTATATTTCTACTGCACATGCCAGCTCATCGACAATTTATGAAGCCTTTAAAACCAGGCTTGACAACACATATGGCATAGATAACAGGATGATTTTCAGTGGCTTAGAATTTGACCCCATCCTCCTGCTCCCAAAACCACAACTTTTAAAAGCTGTAGCCACCATAAATTTTAAGAGGTGTCGTGTTGCAGATAAATAAACACAGACTTTGCCCTCAGATAGATAGGGATTCAAATTTCAGTATCATAGATGAGACTTCCCTTTTCCCTTCCTAAAGATATCCAGATTTTTTATTTAGACATCAGTCCCTCCTCCCCACAACCCACATGCTTCAGGGGAACTGGCCCAGACAGTAGACTTAATGGGCCTATGGGAAATTCCAGCCCCCTTGCCAGGGTGATTGGCTCAAGAATTCAGGCCTCAGCCAATGAGGTCATTAATCCCCTGAGACAAGGACTGATTTAATAATAGACCAATGATACGTGAGGAGGGAAGTAGCAGTCACGAGAATGCACCCAGAACACCTCCTTCTATGGCAGCATAATTGACCAAGGGCCCCAGCTGCTGCACTTTGGAATCCATCCCCAAGTTTGTGAATCCTAAGGAATACTAAGACAGACTAATTTCTGGGAGACACAACTCCTTTGTCAGCTGATTTGGGGTGAAGGATTCCCCTAAGATTTGCTTCGACTGCACAGTATAAGGCACTTCCATTCGGCCTTTCTCTCCCTTTCCTTTAATTGAAGTCAAATTTCCATCAGTGCCTGACGCTCTTGCAGCCTTCCCAGCTCCCTGCCTATTTCCATTTACACATTCATTTTCCCTAGTAAAATCCGAGCACATATCAGTCCATCTTAACATCTGCTTCTTGAAAGACCCTGACTAACACCAAAACTTTCCCGGAAATTTTGAGGAAATAAGTTTCTTTGTTCTTAAGAGGTAGGCACTGGGGAAATGCTCTTTTTTGCTCTGGATTTTATGAATATCATGGAAAGCCTAGAATTGCTCCAGCCATTTTCCTAACAAGAGTTGTCTTCTCCAGGTTAAATATTCCTAGATTCTTCTACCTTTCTTTATACTAAATGGTTTTCAAACCACTTACTATTGACAGGTGACAGCGTGCTGGCAGTCCTCACAGCCCTGGCTCGCTCTCGGCGCCTCCTCTGCCTGGGCTCCCACTTTGGCGGCACTTGAGGAGCCTTTCAGCCCACCGCTGCACTGTGGGAGCTCCTTTCTGGGCTGGCCAAGGCCAGAGCCGGCTCCCTCAGCTTGCAGGGAGGTGTGGAGGGAGAGGTGCGAGCTAGAACTGGGGCTGCGCGCAGCGCTTGCGGGCCAGCTGGAGTTCCGGGTGGGCGGGGGCTTCGCGGCCCCGCACTCGGAGCAGCCGGCCGGCCCTGCCGGCCCCGGGCAATGAGGGGCTTAGCACCCGGGCCAGCGGCTGCGGAGGGTGTACTGGGTCCCCCAGCAGTGCTAGCCCACCGGCGCTGCGCTCGATTTCTCACTGGGCCTTAGCTGCCTTCCCGCGGGGCAGGGCTCGGGACCTGCAGCCCGCCATGCCTGAGCCTCCCACCCCCTCCGTGGGCTCCTGTGCGGCCCAAGCCTCCCCGATGAGCAACGCCCCCTGCTCCACGGCGCCCAGTACCATCAACCACCCAAGGGCTGAGGAGTGCGGGCGCACGGCGCGGGACTGGCAGGCAGCTCCACCTGCAGCCCCTGTGCGGGATCCACTGGGTGAAGCCAGCTGGGCTCCTGAGTCTGGTGGGGACGTGGAGAACCTTTATGTCCAGCTCAGGGATTGTAAATACACCAATCAGCACCCTGTGTCTAGCTCAGGGTTTGTGAATGCACCAATGGACACTCTGTATCTAGCTACTCTGGTGGGGCTTGGAGAACCTTTATGTCTAGTTCAGGGATTGTAAATACACCAATTGGCACTCTGTATCTAGCTCAAGGTTTGTAAACACACCAATCAGCACCCTGTGTCTAGCTCAGGGTTTGTGAATGCACCAATCGACACTGTATCTAGCTACTCTGGTGGGGACTTGGAGAACCTTTGTGTTGACACTCTGTATCTAACTAATCTAGTGGAGATGTGGAGAACCTTTGTGTGTAGCTCAGGGATTGTAAACGCACCAATCAGCACCCTGTCAAAACAGACCACTCAGCTCTACCAATCAGCAGGATATGGGTGGGGCCAGATAAGAGAATAAAAGCAGGCTGCCGGAGCCAACAGTGGCAACCTGTTTGGGGCCCCTTCCACGTTGTGGAAGCTTTGTTCTTTCGATCTTTGCAATAAATCCTTCTGCTGCTCGCTCTTTGAGTCCACACTGCCTTTACGAGCTGTAACACTCACTGTGCAGGTCCGCAGCTTCACTCCTGAGCCAGCAAGACCACGAACCTACCAGAAGGAAGAAACTCCGAACACATCCCAACATCAGAAGGAACAAACTCCGGACGCGCCACCTTAAGAGCTGTAACACTCACCGCGAGGGTCCGCGGCTTCATTCTTGAAGTCAGTGAGACCAAAAACCCACCAATTCCAGACACACTATCCTGGGGGTACGTAGAAATGAGAACAATTAGAGAAAACAGAAAGTGTAGCGAGACTATTCTCCTTTGCTTCTCATATTGCAGCATTATATGGCTTGAGCTTTTGGAGGAACTGTAAATCCTTTTTTTAGGAATTTGGTAGGCATCTCCACATATTTGAAAAACTGACACATACAATGCAACAATCAAATGTTGATTCGTTAACTCTTTGGTAAATAGAGCAGCAGAGAACCTGGACTCCAGAGCCAGACTGAGTTTTACTCACAGCTCTGCCTCTTGCAAGATGCGTGTGCTTGGAAAATTTAATTAACCTCTCTGTGACTCAGCATCCTTCCCTGTAAAATGTTCTTCTACCTCATAGTCTTCTGTGCGTTACTTGGAAAGTTCTTAGACTAATTGTATCATGTAGTAAGTGCTAAGTTAGTATTAATTTTTTTTTTTTTTTTTTTGAGATGGAGTCTCACTCTGTCACCCAGGCTGGAGTGCAGGGGCACGATCTCGGCTCACTGCAAGCTCTGCCTCCCGGGTTCACGCCATTCTCCTGCCTCAGCCTCCGGAGTAGCTGGGACTACAGGTGCCCGCCACCACACCTGGCTAATTTTTTTTTTTTTTTTGTATTTTTAGTAGAGACGGGGTTTCACCTTGTTAGCCAGGGTGATCTCAATCTCCTGACCTCGTGATCTGCCCGCCTTGGCCTCCCAAAGTGCTGGGATTACAGGTGTGAACCACTGTGCCCGGCCCTTTTTTTAGTTTTTTGAGACAGGGTCTTGCTTTGTCACCCAGGCTGGAGTACAGTAGTACAATCACAGCTCACTGCAGCCTTGACCTCCTGGGTTTCAGCGATCCTCCTACCTTTGCCTCTCAAGTAGCTAGGACTACAGGCAAGCACCACCACACCTGGCTAATTTTTTTATTTCTTGTAGAGATGGGGTCTCCCTGTGTTGCCCAGGCTAGTCTTGAACTCCTGGCCTTAAGCAATTCTCCCACCTTGGCCTCTCAAAGTGCTGGGACTACAGGTGTGAGCCACTGTGCTCGGCAAATAATTAAATAGTTTAAAGCACCTATTATTTGCCAACCCCTGGCCATGCTGAGAGTAAAACTAGGACAAATAAATGAACATCAGAGGATTCCCTTTTAAGTAAATATTTCTAAGAATAGAACAGCTGTACAAAAAATAAGACTGCTGACTTTAGCCAGGTATGTGTCAGGGATGTTGACAAGAGGCATTCTAAATAGTCTTTCAGCTCTCAAATTCCAGAATTCAACTTCTGAATTCCAAAACTAAGATGTCACATCATACTAGATCCGAGGTTGGCAAACTTTCTCTGTAAAGTGCCAATAATAACTATTTTAGGCTTTTCAGGCCTTGCAGGTTATGTTGCAACTATTTAACTTTGTCACTGGAGTGTGAAGACAGCCATAGACAATGTGTAAATGAACAGGCAAGGCTGTGTTCAAATAAAACTTTATTTATAGACTCTGAAATGTTAGCTTCATATAATTTTTGTGTCACAAAATGTTATTCTTTTTTAAACTATTTGAACCATTCAAAAATATAAATACCATTCTTATCCCACAGACTGTGGTCGGGCCAATGGGCCATAGTTTGCCACCCCCTGTGCTAAATGAAGCAAAGGAAAAAGGAGGGTCCTAGTTAAGGATGAGATGTGAACTGTGGCTGAGAGTTCCCAATGACAAGCAAACAGCTCAGGGGAGGAACTAATGCAGAACCATTCTTACTATCATTGGCATAAAAGAAGTTCTAGGACACAAGAAAAAGCAAAAATTGCAGTGAGCTGGGGTTTTGCCATATTTGCAACAATCTTTGTTGAGTTTGTTTTATCTGAATAGTAGGGTATACACTCTTCCTGTCTTCTATTTTTATAAATTTTGAATAACAATTCTTTGCTTATGAGACAGTCTTGTATTTTTTTTCCTGCATTCCCTAACCTCTTTGAAGGATATCTACTTGGAATATGTTTAATTCTCAACTTCCTTCTTCTCTTCTCAGAAATAACTATCCTAAAGGGCAGAACTTATTATGAATTCCACCAGCTCTCTTAACTGGCTTCAAATAAAATATATTTAAGGAATTGCTGACATGTTACCTTTTATTACTTTTTTTTTTTTTTTTTTTACTGCTAACAGGAGCAGCCTGGCCCTAAAAGAGACTTGTGCGTGACCCCAGGAGACCCACTGACATGGATCAGGAAACTGCTTTAGAATCCCAGGAACAGGGCTACGACCAAACTCCGTACTCTCCCATTTGCCTATCGTGTCAGTATCTCTGTATTGTCACTGGTGTATTAAAAATCTTGGCCTAAACAAAACAAACAAACAAAAATGAAATCCTGCTGTTTACCTAGTTTAGCTGCAAGGACCAGAAAACTCAAAATAACAGTGGCCTAAACAAGATAGACATGCATTTCTATCTTACCTAAATGAAATCAGTAGGTGTAAAAAGTCCACAACTGCTGTTACGGCAGTCTCAAAAAGTCCTCGAGGGTCTAGACTCAGCCTCCCTCTTCCCTCTTTGCCATCACTGGAGTGGTCCATGTTCCAGTCCACAAAGTGGGGAAAGAAAAAGGACACGGTTTTCTCTTAGAAAAGGTGTGAGAAGCTGAGAAACATTTCTGTTTACATCTCATTGGCCAGAATGTAGTCACAAGATCAAAATCATACCTAGCCACAGGGAAGCTGGAAAAACCTAGTCTCTCAGACGAAGGAGTGTCTTTGAGGGAATGACAAACTGTATCTGTCTACCATGCTTGAAATGCAAGAGTCCCATCAGCTAGGGTTCATTCTTGGGAACCACTTCAACTTGTCTTCTTCAGAGAAGCACTTCAGTGGGACCAGAGAGAACACTGTGCATCCCAGGATTGCAGCCACTGGACTCCAGCAACTCGAGGAAGAGGCAGCCATTGATACCAGACCTAGAATTCACTAAAGGTCAATGCCTTCAGGAATTTTCATCTGATTTGATGATTGATGCCCTCCCCATCATGAGCCCCAGGAAGTCTCCCATGCCACGTGAGTCTCTCCCCTTCAAACCTCTCACTTATAAATCACAGAGGGATATAGTAGGCATATATTCTTGTTTTGAAGGGAAATATTTACAACTTCTTGTAGGTAAGTCACATAAGTCCTGTGAATAAATACACATTCTTTTCTCCACTTTCCCCACCTCCAAAATGTTTCTAAAATTCTTCTGGAATCTCTTCTGGAATCTAAATGTAACATCCGTTCATTTTCTTACTATATATTTTGCAAGTGTTTTTCACTTATGGAATCATCAGCTTTGGCTTTAAATAATAAAAAAGGAACCATCAGGCCTTTTCTTTAACCTGAGTGTAAGGTTAACCTGAGTGTAAGGTACAGTGAAACAAGCAAATACCTCCAAGACATCTGGACACCATTAAAATCACATTGCTCTGGCAAGGGAGGGTGAAGAGGTGAGAGGATGATTCATGTACTCAGATAAATAAACCTGCCAGAGAGACAAAGCTTCTTGTGGTTTAGATTATCTGATGGTTTGTTTACAACGAGTAAACAAAGAGGTTAATTCCCTAGTTTTTCATTGTTATGTTTTTTGTTTGTTTTTGTTTTGTTTTGGTTTTGGTTTTAAGGAGCAGAGGGTTTAATAGGCAAGAGGGAAGGGAGAAAACAGAAGGAAGAAGCTCCCCAGTACAGAGACAGAGGGTGGGGGGCTCCAAAGCCACGAAAGGAGGTGGCAAGTGTGGTGGACACCAGCCAGGTATAATATGCAGAGGCTGGAGGAGGTTGTGTCTCATTTGCACAGGGCTCAGGGGATTGGTTTGACCAGGCATGTCATTCACGTGGCCCTGGAAAGAGCTGGCCCTCCCACCCTAGCCTTTTAATATGCAAATGCAGGGCACCATGATGTTCTACACACGTGGGGATATGTGGGGGCGGTCATGTTGCCAGGAACACGTGTGCCAAGGGCAAGAAGGCTGCGGGAATCACCATGTTGGGTAGACCCAGTTTCTAAGGGTCTGCTTAGATTTTCCTTTACTATACTAGAGATGTTAATCCAAAAGCAGCATGTTTCATTTAAAAGTGCATCACTAGACCCAAAAAGAAGTCCTAGCAGACTCAGTGATAGTAAAACTTTCATGCTTCCTTTTTGTCCATAACTATTATCCCTGCTATAAAGATAATAAGCAAAATACAACAGCAATGGAAACTTTGTCTAATATCTCAGTTAGAAGGTGCTACTGTGTATAACCCTATTGCAAATAGTAGAAGGAGTATAGCAATTCCCACAAGAGTGGTGTAGTAGATAATTTCCATGTAAAGTTTTATTTGCCAGATACAGAATTTCCCGTTGGTGGTTTATGAAGCCTTGGTTTTATTTTCCCAAACAAAGAAACCTCCGGGTTATTGGTACCCTACTTACTTTTATTACCGAGCAGAATTTGCAGGATAATTGCCCAAAACTAGTATATTGGTCCAGATTTTTACATTACCCATCCCTTTTTCTTTCTTCCAAGCTGCAGGAGATTACCACTTGATTCACAGGAATAAGCAGGGTTAATCTAAAATGTAGGCAAAAAAGCTTAAAAACAATTAATGAGACTAGGATTTAATGACAAATGCATGATAAGCTTTGGAGCGAAATTTTTCTCTCCAGTCCTCATTTTTGGTAAAAACTAATTATGAATGAACTTTAGTCTTATACTTGGCTTGATTATTTGCATGAAGTGCAGCAAGAATGGTTATTTCCACATAGGCCTTTTGGATTGGCTTTGATGAAACTCTGTTCCATCAGGCAATCTCAGATAAGACCTTTAAAGCCGAGCCCATCCATGGGTTTGTATCCTCAAATACCCATGAGTTGGGTGATCCTCTCCGCTTGAGGTCCCAAGATAAATTCCGAGCTTCCACACCAGTCTGATGATTGAATTTCCTTTCCCGGCCAACACACCAAAATGATAAGGCTCTGATAAGTGGAGGAACACCAGGGTTCTTGGTCCTCATGTCAAATTAGAAAAAATGACACGGACACACGTGGAGTGGTTTTAAGGAGTGGAGAGTTTAATAGGCAAGAAGGAAGGGAGAAGACGGAAGAAGCTCCCTCGTACAGAGACAGAAGGAGCAGGGGGCTCCAAAGGCGAAAGAGGAGGTACCTCCTTGCTGTTTTTGTTTAAACACAGATTATAGTCCCAGAGAATATACTATACAAATGACATAAACTAGAGGACTTAAATGCACACTTTTACACTAGGTTAGCACTGAGCTTTCTTTTTTTTTTTTTTTTGAGATGGAGTTTCACTCTGTTGTCCAGGCTGGAGTGCAATGGTGCGATCTCAGCTCACTGCAACCTCTGCCTCCCAGGTTCAAGCAATTCTCCTGCCTTAGCCTCCCAAGTAGCTGGGATTACAAGCACGTGCCACCAAGCATGGCTAATTTGTGTGTGTGTGTGTGTGTGTGTGTGTGTGTTTATTTTTAGTAGAGATGGGGTTTCACTATGTTGGCGAGGCTGGTCTCAGACTCCTAATCTCAAGTGATCTGCCCGCCTCGGCCTCTCAAAGTTCTGGGATTACAGGCATGAGCCACCGCTCCTGGCACTGAGCTTTCTCTTTGCTGTTTTCCTTTAAAATGTCTGCACAATGGGTAGTGTAAGGAATAGCTCTAAACTGGGGGAATTTTGCAGGAAATTATCTTTACCAGACCTACATAATTAGATACTAGAATGGTGATTGCAAAGCTGAAAGCAGTTGATTTAGGTACCTTACTTTAATCGTAATCGCAAATATTCTGCTACATTATAGTTGATAAGTTTAATAAATAAATGGTTAATGTTTATCTGCACCCATCTTCTGTAATGTCATATACAAATTTTTTGTTGATAAAAATTAAATCTACATTAGAGCATAAACTATATATTTTTGCTACCTTTTAGTTTAAGCCAAAAGTTCTAAAATACAGAGACATAACTACAAAGTAGTTTTGAGACTAATTTCCAATCTTCCCCAACAATTTTGTTTTCTTCATCATCTTTTCTATCTATTTATCTATCATCTATTTTTTTAAGGCTCTTCCATTCCACATATATAGTGAAAGCCTAGCTAGGCAAGATTCCTTTTGGTTGACTGAATCTTCCCCACCAGCATTCCCTCACCCCATAAGATGTTCCTGGTCCCTCCAGAGGCAAGCTTCTTACAGTTCTCAGGCTCAGATGGCCCTGTCCCCCAAAGCTCTACCTCCTCAACTTTTCTCCTGAGGATTGAGTCTCTCTCCTTTCCCCATGCAAGCTCTCCACGGAGGAAAGTCTTGGTTTCTCTTTGATGACTTGGCCTTCCTATAAAAATTGTAGAGAAGCTGATTAATAACAGCATGAGGGGACTTTAATTAATTCACTTTCTCCCACCAGGCATTAGACATATGCAGGCTGTGCTACAGCTAAACTTTAAATAACCAAGAAATGTCAAAAGAGAGATGTGGCATCCACATTCCCAAGATGATATGGTGCAGGAACAAGCATTTGGCTGGGTTTTAGGAACCTTGTGTTCCATCCTCCCTTCTTCTGCCACAAACACACTGATGGCATGAGGTGGGTCCCACTGATAATGTGCATGGCACATTCTTTACAAAGCATCTTCAGATCCATAAGGAAATCCCATCTTCTGCCTGAGCTTTATTTTGTCCCACATCCACTCCCCCACACCATCCCACACACCATCATTATCCCAATTCCTCCAGCTTGCCATCACTCTAAGCAGAAGATAATATTTTAAATTAATCTTCCGAGGCAGGCGGATCACTTGAGGTCAGGAGTTCGAGACCAGCCTGGCCAACATGTTGAAACCCGGTCTCTACTAAAAATAAAAAAAAAAAAATAGACGGGCATGGTGGCAGGCGCCTGTAATCCCAGCTACTCGGAAGGCTGAGGCAGGAGAATCACTTGAACACGGGAGGTCGGGAGGTGGAGGTTGCGGTCAGCAGAGATCATGCCATTGCACTCCAGCCTGGGCAACAAGAGTGAGACTCCATCTCAAAAAAAAAAGGAACTACAACTTATAACTACAACTTATATAGCACCTACTACATGCTACCTATAGCAGTATTTAAAGTTACCTCCTTTAACACAGTGTTCTAGAGAGGTGGGCATCATCAACCCCATTTCACAGGTAAGACCTGGAGCTTACATTTGTTGTTTTAAGTCACAAATCCACTTCAAGGTGGAGCCTGAATTTGAGCCTATCTGTCCATGCTGTCTACACTACACTCTCTAAGCAGCAAATGTCACTCTGGTTTTATTTTCCACACTGTGATTTGGTCCTTCCTTTCACATTCTTGCCTACATAATTATTCTGTCTTCTTTAAACTGCCACTCTCGTCTCCAAAAGAGAAATCACTTTTTAAACTTAAAGTAACATAGAGCAAACACTACCATTTTGAAACGGGAGCACCTCTCCCTGGCTCCCACAGCACACCCTGAATCTGGTCTATGCTGGGTTTGTCTGGAGAACTAGAGGCCGGGCAAAGATTGTGGACAGCTGTGCCTTTATGAGGGTCAAAGTCTGCCTCCTAGGACTGTGAACAGAAAGGAGGAAGTTTACCCATGGCCATATGCTGACTACACAGTGTCCTCCTTCCCTCCTCTCATTCTGAGTCACCAGGGAGTCCCGTCTGTTTTTCACAGGTTCCAGCTGAGGCACCCAACAGCAATGATGTTTTGTGAAAATAGTGTGTGATTTGGATGCAAATGATCCTGGGTTCAAGACTTGCTTCTGTAAAGAAGAGAATACCACACTCTCCTCTCCCAGTCATGTGGGGAGTTAATCGAAACCCACGGAAAGTGCATTGCATAAGGTGGGTGTCTGATAAATGCCCACACCTTTGGCTTCTCCTCTACTGATAACTCTTTTTCCCTCATCTTCCTGATGTAAAAGGTGAGTGGGAGCCTTTATGCCTTTCCCTGAAAGTAGAAGCCAGCCTCACCCCAGCCTGTGAGGCTGCTGAACCAGCCTCTTGCCCTTTCCTGCGTTTCTCAGGGCTTCCACCCTCCCCTCAGGCCCTTTCACCTCTCCATGTCATCTCTTTATTCAGTTCTCCACCAAGCCTTCCCCGCTACCTTCAGGAAGCTTTGCAAACTGGCACGAAACCCTAAATTCACAGTATAGAGTCTGGAATGCACTCCCCACTGCTTGGTGATCCGTCATACCATACTGTTTTCTGCTTATCTTTCTCTAAGACAACCTGTACCCTCAATCTGGTGCCACTTAACATGGCAATAAGAGTGTAGTAAGTAGGGCCACTTCACATGGTCTCATTTATGTAGATGCTTGTTCTTTCAAGCTTGTCACCCCCAATTCAGTATCTACTATAGATACATTGACAGGGCTTGGAAATTGACCAGAGTATGGTCTTCCGTGCCTTCAAATTGCTGTGTGGGGCTTCTGAGAAGACAAACTTTGGAAATTGCCCCTCTTTTGCAGAGGATTCAGCGGAACTCAGGAATATGCCAGTACCCACCTACCCTGTGATAGCCAGCCTCTAAAATAGTCTCCAGCGATTTCTGGCTTCCAATACTCACACTCTAATATGGTCCCCTCCCACACTGTATCAGGGTTGGTGTGTAACCAGTAGAGTGCAGGAGGAGTGGTAGATACCACTCTGGAAGAGAGATTATGGATGTCATTTGGTCCTGTCTTGCTTTCCCTTGGATCACTTGCTCTGGTGGAAGCCAGTGGCCAGTCTCATGGACAGTTGGGCAGCCCAGTGGACGACCTAACAGTTCGACTGCCACTTCATGGAAGACCCTGAGCCAGAACAAGTTAGTTAAGCTGCTCCCAGATTCCTGACCCTCAGAAACAGTGTGAAAGACAAATACCAGACTGACACATTTTTGGCAAGTTTTTGTGCAGCTATAGATAACTAACACAAACTTTCTATTCCAAATTGCCACTATTTACCTCCCCCTGCAGAAATGTCCACCACTTACAAAGGTATAGCTGAAGCCCATCTAAGGTGAGCCAACTTTACTTATAATTGAAAACAAATTATATGTACTTTAAAAGTATTTGAGCACCATTTTATTGCCAAACAATACACCCAACAAAGTCAAACAACCTAACTTCCCTTAACAAGAATATCAGGTTTGTCTATATTATGATTGGAAACAAACATAAATTATATTTGTTTTCCTAGACAGTCTAAGGTTTCAATGGGTTGCTGTAAAAGAATTTGAAGAAAGCTGCACCAACTGGTGTTTTGAAATTCAAATACCCTTAGTTTAAGCCACAATAAATGAAATAAAACCAGTACATGAAATAAAACCATCACCCTATAAGATTGTTTTTATCATCCAAAGAGAACGCCTCTCACAATAGATTGATGTCATGTACATGACGTAGTTCACACATTCCACTGTCTTCTCTTGACTATTCACAGTGTGCTTGGCACTTGTGTTACCGATAGAAAGAAATATTTCCTTCAGAAATTCAGAATCAAGATCATTTAGAGGGAAAATAGTAGTAATCCCAATCACCAAGTCACTATTTTGCATTCTGCTTTACCTAGAAACTATTATATATTATATACTTTAAAATAGTTCATATACATAAAGTATTGTAACCAGAAATATTAATTTATAACTATTTGCTCCATGGAGATCCTCAAAGCAAAAGATTAGGAATGAAGCAAATTTCAAGGAATTTAAAATCAGGGATTTTATTCTAAGTTAGAAAGAAATGGCAGCCATCACTGGTTCCCTAATCTGTAAGGCCCAGTCCAAAATGAAAACACAAGCCCCTTCTTCAAAAATTATTAAGAATATTAAGAGGACAGCTAGAGCATTAAACTAAGCCCTGGGCCTCTGAGCATGGGAACCTATGAGATTGCACAGGTCATATGCCCATGAAGCTGGCCCTGGGGGCAGGATACATTTTGTAGCTTCTTGAAGAGGTCTCTCCAGAGGTAGGTGCTAGAAGCAAAGGACAGGTAGGACCAGAAAGCATCAGTGTATGGTTACTGAGTGACACAGATAATCCTTTATTTATTTAACAGTAACTAATATTTCTATTGTACTTTATAGTTTACAAAGCTCTTCTGCCAGATCCAGTATCTCATGTATTGAAGCAACAATTCTATGAGATATTCATGTCACCCCTCTTACATACAAGGTGAAGTTGGGTCCAAAGAGGTCAAGTGACTCATTGAAGGCCACTCAGCCAGCCAGCATGGGACCTAAATGCAAGTCATTTGACCTCAAATCCAATTTTCATTCCACATGCTCAACACAGCCTGGTGCTAAGAGTTGTGGGTTACAAAGAAGCACAGAACATGAGGTCTGCAGTCTAGCAATTATTCACTAATGAAAGATGGAAGGTACACAGATGGGCATTGACAGTTTGCGTTTATGGGTTGTTTTCACATCTGTGGGTGTGACACAACTTCACGGCAAACACCAACCAAATTCCAGGTTCTGATTCCTAATTCCTTCTCATCTAACCAACTACCCTCCCTCCAGCAACAGCGTCAGACCTTAGTTCTCCAACAGTTTCTGGACTGGACAAATACAATGTCAGCCTAGCAATCTCCAGCTCGTATTGGCCCTATTATGTTACAAGATCCAGGACTCTGAATTTTCTCTTTGACCATTGCACAAAGTCTTTTAAAATATAAAGCACACGGCTTTATCTTTAATAGAAGCTTAGGCTGGGCATGGTGGCTCACGCCTGTAATCGCAGCACTTTGGGAAGCTGAGGCAAGCAGATCACCTGAGGTCAGGGGTTCGAGACCAGCCAGGCCAACATGGTGAAACTCCGTCTCTACTGAAAATACAAAAATTAGCCAGGCATAGTGGTGGGCACCTGTAATCCCAGCTACTCAGGAGACTGAGGCAGGAGAATCGCTTGAACCTAGGAGGCAGAGCCAAGATCACGCCATTGCACTCCAGCCTGGGCAACAAGAGTGAGACTCCGTCAAAAAAAAAAAAAATTCTTTATTAGTACTACTCTTAAATGGCATTATTTATGATGTTAGCTTTTAATTGGTAACTATATAAGCTTGATTAAAATATTTCCTCAATTCTAATTTATAATTTTTCTCATTTCATAATTTTTCTCATTTTATATCTTTGCCAGGATAAGAAGTCCAATGTCCAGTGTAAGATATTTCCCTTAAATTCCAGCTTTATTTCTGACTTGCTCTAAGGCACTGGCTCAAGCTCTTAACTTCTATATTTCAGTTTTTCACTGGTGGGTATTGCTTGCCTGGCTTGCAAGAATGCTTGAGAAATTCTGGCTCTAAGAGCATGGGGCACTTTAAAAGTACAAAGTATCATTATATTTATGATTACAACTTGCTTGACAGTTTCATAGTGCTATAATATAGGAAATATGTATTTCAAAATAATAACAGAAATTGTACTGTTTTGGGAATGGGTATTCTGAGATCCAGCAAGAGTTAGAATGCCTTTAAAAACACTGCGAATCTTCAAGTGCCAAGTTAAAACTCAAATTCAGGGACCATTCACATCTCACAATAAAACAGAGAAGACTCTCAAGAATGGTATATGCTTATTCTCAACTGTTAAACTAATAGTAATATACTGTGCATTAATATATAGAATATAGAATAATGGTATATATTATATAATAAATCATATACCATAATACATGTAATATCTAATAATATATGTTATCACCTTTGTTTTTATTACTATTATTCTACTTCCTATGGCTATTCCTATGGCAACTGGATGGGAGTAAGAAATATCAGAAGGGACAAGATGGGAAAGCTTCATAAAATAATGGAAAAAGCATGGCAAAAATTGAGAGAGAGGATGAGAACTCAAAAGGACAGAGAGAGAAAGACGGAACTCTCTTGAGAGACTGCCTCTGGTAGGTTTTGGGGCCTTTCTCTGTTCAGCACGTGGCTGTTTCTGCTATTTTCCTGGAGCCAAATCTCAAGAGAAATATCCCAAATATTAAATGAAGAAGTCAAGGTCCAAGCCTTTGCAGAAGATGCTTTTCTAGTGAATGCTCATGGCCCCACCCCCACCCCAGCAATTACATGTGTTTAGCTTTTTCTAAGCTCCTTTTTTTTCCACATTTTTCCCTGGCTTGTCCCCAAGTAGCCGCTTCCTCCCAATTCATCATCTGCTTTATCCCCTCCCTATTTCCCTTCATTTGTTTTTCTTAGCATTCTCCTACACTCTGTTTTGTTTATCTTCTGAGCCATCACATCCTCTATTAACTGATGTTATCTCTGGGTGTTGACTCCCACGTAGACAGCATTCATATTCTTCTGACCCTACTTTAAAAGGGAATTTTAATTAATTATTTATGCATTTTTTTCTCCCAAAGGGGTGATCACTCAGATTTTCTAAGGTCCCTGCTGCCCTACTCTATGACAGAATTCCATCAGCTTGAAGACAGCTGGCAGGAAGCACTGCCCATCCCTGTCCTTATCTAAGGATAGAGATGACTGTCCAGCCTGCCTCCACACCTGCCCGTCCCTTGGCTCTCTTTTAAGATACTCCTTTCTCAATCACTTGGCATCATCAGTTGCAAATTCAACCATGAGAGAAAAAAAGTAAGCTGAACTCTATGCCTTCCTAGGACACTAAATATTATCAAGTTAAGCTCAGCCTTAATCTTATGGTAGCATTAACTTGTGGCTTTTAATTTTATTTTGTACAAACGACTTCTTATAAATCTGTGTTCACCCCAGGCTGCTGGAGCAGATGTGGAAGTAACCATAGAAGAAATGGCATGAAAGCAAAGTGACATTTGCCCTAGATATCCTTCCTCAAGGGATTATTTCTCAGTAGCTTTTGGTAGTATGTGGCCCTGTGGGAATTTCTTCTGCCTCCTCATCTTTAAAACAAAACAAAACAAACAAACAAAAAGTGATTGTCTTGATTTTTCAAGCATACACACGCCATTTTTTTTTCTTTTTTCTCCCCGCTTCTACCCCTTCCCCAGCCCCTACGCACCACTTTAAATGAGTGAAGGGAACCTCTGTGGTACCTCTTTTTAAATGGGCCAAGTTAGTCAAAGGTTGCCTTTTGTTCCAAGGGTTTAAAGCACGTAAGACAAATCTTGCCACTAAGATGAAGAATAAATGCCAGAACCAGAGAAACTGGTGCCTAGAGAGGTTAAATTACTCATTACAAATGAAGGGCTGATGGGGGAAGTGGAATTAGGCATTTAGCTGCTGGCTTCTTTCACTAATTCTGTGTCTATGTGCTGAAGGCTCAGGTATGATATTGATAAACTACAGTGTTTCTACAGAACACAGTGAACTTGAGCCACAGACTCCTAATATTCCCTCTTATAACAGCACTATGGGTTTTTTTCCTTTATTACTTTACATAATTGCAATTTAAAATGTTTCCATTGTTCCAGGTGATATGGAGTCACTGTGCACTGTTACTCCACATCACCTGGAACTACAGCAAAACAAGAAAGCCCAAATTAAATGCAGAAATCACCTGTTTGAAGGCAGTGGTGGGCTGTCAAGGCTAAGAGAATCGGAGGGGCTAAGACTTGAGAGAGCAGAGAGGTGAGCTGATGGCAGAGCCGAGAATCTGAGGACAGAGAAGCCAGAGAACTTCTAAAAGAGACCTGAAGGGTTTCAAACACACAGTTGGCTTTCCCTTCAAAGCATGTGCTGAATTGGGGGTATATAAGGAGTGGAGGTTGAAAAACAGAAGTAGAAAGCCTCTGAAAATCATCAGAGTTTCTGGCAGTCTCAGGAGATGAAAATAGGAACTCAGGACCTGCCAAGGAAGGGATCCCAGTGAAGACACCAGGTTCTCCGTTGGGCCAAGGATAGACAGTAACCTGGCCTCACTGCCACACCAAAAACTAAATCAAGATGGATCATGACCTAAATGCAAAAGATAAAACAATAAAACTCCTAAAGAAAACAGGAAAAGATCTTCATAATCTTGGAGTGAAATTTCTTTTTTTTCCTCCCAGTTTTAAAAACAGCATACTCTACTTTGCTTCAAAAGCATTTCAACATTCTGAGAGAACTCAAATCTATGTATTAAGAGTAGGATGTAGGTTGCCTCTGGGGAGAAGGGGCAGCTGGAGCTTCAAGGAGCGTGCATGGGGGCTTGTCATCACGGGTGGTTGTCACCCAGGTGTGTTCATTTTGTGGAACTTCACAGTGCTCTATGCCTCCTCTATGCGTTCTTCTGTGCTATGCTGTGCCTCAATAAAAACATTAATAGGAAAGGGAGTCTTAGCGTTCTAATGATACCAAAAAAATAACAGAATGTTGCAAAGTGTGTGCTTGAGGTCAGAAGGCTTATGCACCTTCCTTGAAGCAGTACCTATGCAGTTTTCTGACAACGAAGACCTCTACAGTTTGTTTTCAAACTACTAGATTTAATTAAAAATAATCAGAACACTTCCCATGCCAGCCAGTGCCCCTTTTCCACAGCTAAGAATGTCAGCAGAATGTTATGTCACTGTATAGAAAAACAAGACAGCCGGAAGCAGTGTAAAGAGGTTTAGCCTCATCCTTGAGCTACAGCCCCCTCC
Source organism: Homo sapiens (assembly GCF_000001405.40). Classification (NCBI taxonomy): domain Eukaryota; kingdom Metazoa; phylum Chordata; class Mammalia; order Primates; family Hominidae; genus Homo; species Homo sapiens. The sequence continues at coordinate 67,703,826 of NC_000012.12, read as the reverse complement.
AAAAAGTGCCACCTTCTACAGCATTACACCACCAAGCACAGACCATAAAAAGTCATCTAGTTTGTTTTGTTCTTTTTACAAATTACAGCTGATGTACAGTTGATAACTCAAGACTTCTAATCAATAACACTACCTTACACATAAGTTTTTTTTTTTTTAATTTCAGGAACATTTTTAATTGCCTTCTCTCACAGATCTCTAAATTCATGGAGTGAGGATAACAAAAGAGTTTCTTTTCATTTTAAAAATGTTTAGAAATATGGACAACTTTGATTGAATTTCTGGGTGCTTGTGACACCCATGAACACAACATAGAAACCACTTGCATTTCCTGGAGCGCTTCAAAAACTACAGTGTAATTATATTTCAATTGCGGAATGAAACCCAGTGAGAACAACAGACTCTCAAATAGGAGGTGGTCAGTTACTGCAGTTGTCCTGTATACATACACATGGAGACAGACATGCAGTTTTCCTCATTATTCTCTTTTGCATCCTCTTTTTCCCTTTCTCATACTCCTCACCTTACTCTTCCATCTTTTTTTCTGGTGTGTGCTAGATGATCTCTTTATTCCATCTGTATCAGGCAGTTCTTGCACTGCTATAAGGAAATACCTGAGACTGAGTAATTTATGAGAAAAGAGGTTTAATTGGCTCACAGTTCAGCAGGCTATACAGGAAGCATAGTGGCATCTGCTTCTGGGGGGGTCCTCAGGAAGCTTCCAGTCATGGCGGAAGGCAAAAGAGAAGCAGACGCTTCACATGGCAAGAATGGGAGCAAGAGAGAGAGCATGGGTTACAGGGGAGCTGCCGCAAACTTTTGAGCAAGCAGATCTTGTGTGAACTCAGAGTGAGAGCTCACTTATCACCAAGGGGATGGCCCAAGCTATTCATGAGGCATCCGCCCCCATGATCCAAACACCTCCCACCAGGCCTCTCCTCCAGCATTGGGGATTACAATTCCACATGAGATTTGGGTGAGGACAAATAGCCAAACTCTATCACCATCCCTTTGCTTTAGATTATAGTTGGCCACCTACTTCCCATACATCTCCTTCAACTTTGTTATAAGGTAGCTTTTCACCATCACTAAAATTATCCTGCATGTTTTATTTTTCTGTCACTGTATAACAAATTACCACACACTTAACAGCTTTTAACAAAGTCCAGCACGATGTCACCTGGTTCTCCTCTCAGGGAATCACAAGGCGGGAACCAAGCCATCAGCCAAGCTGGGTCCTCACCTGGAGGCTCTAAGTAGACATCACCTCCAGGCCCACACAGGTTGCTGGAAGAATTCAGTCCCTTGTGGTTGTAGGACTGAGGATCCTCTTTCCTTGATGCCTGTTGGCCAGGGCCTCTCTCAGGTCTTTTAAGGTTTCCTGAATTCCTTCTCAGGTGGGCCTGCTGCAACTTCAAGCCATAACCCCTTTACTCTTCAAATCTCTCTGACTTCTTCTGCCACCAGCTGGAGAAAGCTCTCTGCTTAAAAGGTCTCATGTGATTAAATTAGATCCTCCAAGATAATCTCCTATCTTAAGGAGATTACCTAACCCTGCCATGAAATATGATAACCACACTAGTGAGTGATGTCTCATCATATTCCCAGGTTCCTGGGATTAGGGGGAAATATCTTTATGGGGGCATTTTAGGAATTCTACATACATAACAGTCATCCAGGTTTTTGGCGACATCTCCGGTAGAAATGCCTAAATTTGTGGATTTACTATTGGGCAGAGATCTAAGTAGAAGAGGAAGGTGGGGCATGAGGGGAGGGTGTTATCATCTTTCTTCTTGCCTCCCTTAGTTGGTCTATAATCCTTTATTTCCTGCTCATAGTATACCACACCATTTCATCAAATTTGTATTTCTCTTTCACCACACATTGTATTCCACCTCTCAGTGTATTTCCACTTCTTGGAAACTGCAGTTTACAGAGGCCTCTGGATTATTATTTGTATTTTCCTCCCAGCATTGTCTTCATAAACAAGGCATGAGCAGACATCTTGCCTTTTGGTTTCTTGGGGTCACCTTTAGCTATCCTGACTGTGCTGTTTGTACTCTAGGCAACATAATGTACAACAGTTTCTCAGTGTTGCACTAGCTGTTTCCACAAGAACTGTCTCAGGCAAAGATTTCTTAAAACACAAAAAGCAATAACTGTGAAGGGGAAAAATATTGATCAATTGGACTGCATTAAAATTAAGAGCTTCAGTTCTCCAAAACCATTAAGAGAGTAAAAAGTCATACACTGAGAGAGAGATTTTCAAACATATATCTAACAAAGGACTATTATCTGGAATATTTAAAGCACTCCTTCAAATCAATGAGATACAGGAAAATAACTCGATAGAAAAATGGGCAAATGTCAGAATAGATACTGTATGAGAGAAGATGTTCAAACAGAAAATAAACATATGAAAAGGCACTCCATTAGTCATTAGGAAAGCACAGATGAAAATTAAGATGGAAAAATCCCAGTGACTCAGGAGAGGTTGAGCTGGGAGGACTGCAGTCCCAGTAACTCAGGAGGCTGAGGTGGCCTGAACCAAGGAGCTCGAGGCTGCTGTGAGCTATGATCACACCACTGCACTCCAGCCTGAGAAACAGAACAAGTCCCTGTCTCTGAAAAAAAAAATGTTTTTAATCATAATGCAAAAACTACAACATACCCTCCAAAATGACTAAAATGAAAAAGACAGACAATATAAAGCAACCAGAACTCTCTTATTCTGCTGACCAGAGTGTAAATTGTTACAACTACTTTGGAAAGCTGTTTGACAGTATCTACTAAAACTGAACATACCCATACCTTATACTCAGCAACTCCACTCCTAAAAATATGCCCAACAGAAATACATATGTATATCTAACAAATGGCATGAACAAGAATGTTAACAGCATTAATAGTAACATAAGCAGTATTTGTAATATTCCCAAACTGGACACAACCCAAATGTCCATCAACAATAGAATGGATACAAAAATCATGGTAAATTCATACAATATAGGAGAACAATATGCAAGAATGAGAATAAATAAACTATAGCTACATACAAAAAAAGGATGACTCTCACAAACATAATGTTGAGTGAAAAAAAAAAGCCCATTACAAAAGAGTACGTCAGGATTCCTTTTTCATAAAGTTTTACAACAGGAAAAAGTAATCTGTGGTTGTATTATTTTGGTGCAAAAGTAATTGCGGCTTTTGCCATTACTTTAGAGTTTGAATCCTGGCAGTGAATACTATACTGACTTTTATTAGGTTGGTGCAAAAGTAATTGTGGTTTTTGTCATTAAAGTAATGTGTGCAGGAAAACTGCACATTACTTTAATGGTAAATGCCGCAATTACTTTTGGACCAACCTAACAGAAATGAGTATAATATTTACCCTTGGAAGTGACTGTGAGTGGAAGGAGGCACAAGAAGGCATCTGGGGTTCTGGTAAGATTCCGATTATTGGACTGGGTACTAATTATATGTGTGCATTCGTTTCATGAAAATGAGTTGAGCTGTGCACTTATTTGTGCACTTTCTGTATGCACTTCATACTGCAACAAAATGTTTACATTGTGCAGAACAATGTATGTATCCAATATCTTTCCCACCCATGAGTACAGAACCACACCTGGTTTGTTCACTACAATATCAGCATTCCCCGAACAGTGTCTAACACACATTGTTGCTTGTTGAATGGAAGATTAATGACTTTTTAAGAGAATTTCCTTAATACAGCTGATTTTTTTTTGTCCTCATCAGTGGAGCTATATTTACCCGTTTTATCAGATATCTTTTGATATTGCAAGGCAGTTGTTTCAGGTAGACCAGCTTGCAGACAGGAGAGCTGAGAGCAAAATGCAGTGAGGGAGATGGAAATTAAGCTCCCTGAGGTCAAGAACTTTTATACTGCTTGCTCACAGTGCAAGGTGGTGCTGTTCAGATAACTTTATGTGGGTAAGTCATTTAATCCTCATAACAACTAATGAAGCACCTCACAAATGAGCTAACTGATGAGAAAATTAAGGCTTAGAGAAGTTTTATAACTCAAGTAGGGAATAACACTGCCAGGATTTAAACCCTAAGTATGAGTTTAACTATGGTACTATCTTCTTACCTCTGCACATAGTATGCACTTGAAAAATATTTGTGTAAGAGTACATAATGGACCTCTCCATCATACCTTGTGTTTCTCCTCCCCACTTCCCCACACAGGCATAATTGTGTACTTACGATCTGGTCTCAGTGGTGGCAGTGGGTGGGGGGAGCTGGGAGAAGGAGGGCAAGGGAGCCTTTTAGCCCAGCCTCCTAGTTTAGACAGGGTCGCAGACATGGACATTTGACATCATCCCCAAGTGAGATTATATGTGCAGTAACTTTCACTCGTCTGACTGGAGGGAGTTGTCCCTCACACAACCTTAAACTTGGGTCCCACTGCCTATAGTATACCCTGTAGAAATGCTTCTTTATGTTGAAATCTTTTGAAAAGCAAAATAATTACATTGCACTTACTTAAATGCATGTGTTAAGACTACTAATTTCTTAAACATAAACATTAAAAAGTATACCACAGTGTTTGTAAGTCTGTCTTGGCATTTCTTCACTTTCTAACACATCATGAGTATTAAAAATAAAAAAACGGAAGTGGCTCAGGCACTTCTACTTCAGAGAGACCCTGACTAATGCCTAAGAAGTTGGTTTCTGTGTGCACGGCAGGATTTTATCTCATGCCAACCAGGGGTGTAACTACTGCTACATGGGGAGACACAAAAAGCCCTTGGGCTAATGTGAATCAGTGAAACCCACAGAAAACTGAAAGCCTCATTCAATTTCAACTCTTTACCATGCAAGGCTTATTGCTAGGGTGGCTTTAAATAGTCACAGAAATGCTTGATTTTACTTTCACTTCCTTCCTTCCCCATCTCAAACCTCTGTAGAGGTTCTTAGGAGGTTTCGATGACTAAATCAGATGATAACAGCAACATCTTTCACTTAGACAGACTTTACAGAACCTTTCGGTTTGGTCTCCTTTGGTCCCCTCAAAAGCCCAGGCAACAGCAATGACTACTGTTGTTTGATAGTCCTGCTGACTAACAACCCCTTCTCTACCCCAAAAAATGTGGGAGTGACTTTTCCTTTCATTACAGAATACTAAACAGCCAAGAATGGATCTCATTCCCCGTGATGGGGAGAAGAAAAGCAATACAGTCCAAAGGCTGAGAACCTTAGTATTGCCTTAAAAGTGCTTTGCTTATTGATGCCTTCACCTTCAATTATATGGAAAATTTTTTAATGCAGTTTAACAATTTTACTGTTTTCATCTACTGAAAAAAAATCAATCCAACACTTCTTTCAACATGCACTATAAGCTTGTGAAACTGTCCATGTGAACGAGGTGAAGGAATCAATTTTTATTTATTGAAGAAACCAAAAGTGGGGTAGGGGTGGGAAGGAATACATTTGGCAGAGGATGAAGCCATGTTACTTCAAAAGGGGAAAAAAAGAATATAACATAAAAGGGAAAATATTTCAAATTTGTAAGGAAAAATTGTTTTCACCAGAAAAATTTCCTCATGCTCTCATTTTTGTTTGGCTTTGTCTACTCATGGCATTCCAAGCAATCTGTCTCTTAGCACCACAGCTGTGAAATATATGCACTTACGGAGACTTCCCGGTTAGCCTCTTCACATTTCACTGGGTTTCATTGTGTGCAATGTCTTGCCATTGACTCTCACACTGTGCTGTGTATACTGTTTCATAATTCTGTTTTACAGAATAGCATTTTCATCTAATAGAAGTTAACATAATAAGGGAAATGGTGACAATAATATATGGTCACTAAACCATATTGCCATTTTGGAACAGTTTATTATGTACACTATGATCCATGTTATTCTAAAAGAATGGATGCATTCATGAGTAAACATAAGTACAGACTTTATAACAGAAATTTGCCTCTACTAGATTAGGAGTTGGCAAACTTCTTTGTCAAGGGCTAGAGAGCAAATATCTTAAGCTTTGTGGGCTATGCTGTCTCTATCTCAACTACTCAACTCTGCCATAGCAGGGAAGGCACCCAGAGACAGTACACAATATATGTAGACAGTAGACAGTGGACAATATGCAATGAATGACTGTGGTTATCCTAAACTTTATTTACAAAAACACACGGCAGTCGTGTTTGTGACACAGAGATGTAGTTTCCTGACCTCTGATCTAGAAGATAGGTATGTTTGCAACCACAACACAAAGGCTGCCCTGAGACTCTAAGCACTAAACATCTGTTTGGCAATTTACCTGAAAAGTTGTGGTTTTTTTTTTTTTAAGTTAAAATTAAAATGACTTTTCTCCTGAGAAAATATTTAAAAGAGTAGGTTTTGGCAAGTAAGTTGAAGGACACACTAGTTATTTTTCTACATCACAATAAAATTAACATAAAACAGGTCATTGGAAATAAAAGAATTTTTTTTATACATTGAATACACTGCCAATGCCTGGATGAGCCTTGAGCATCACAGATCTTTGGCTTAAAGCTTTGCCCATGTCCAGAGTCTCCCTCACAGGAAATCGATTGTAGAAGGTCAAGTTCATGTGTTTCCAGACTCACCTCCTCCTTTAATCTTGGTGCCATCGTTGGCCAGTGTACTGACTATTATTAAGGCAAAGCCAAGACTTGTAGAGATTCTGTATGATTTTTCAAGACATTGAAAAATGATTTAATTTTCAATTTGAGGTTGATGGTGATAGTCCTTTCCTTAATTTGGGAGTCTTCCTGATGTTTTAACAGACATTTCCCAGTCAAAAATTTGTTTGTTTATTTTACTGTATCTTTCTTGAGACAGGGTCTTGCTCTGTTGCCCAGGCTGGAGTGCAATGACACAATTACAGCTCACTGCAGCCTCTATCTCTTGGGCTTGAGTGATCCTCCCATCTCAGCCTGCCAAGTAGCTGAGATCACAGGCATGCACCATCACACCCGGCTAATTTTATTTTATTTATTTATTTTTATTTTTGTAGTGACAAGGCCTCCTTATGTTGTCCAGGCTAGTGTCAAACTCCTGGGCTCAAGTGATCCTCCCACCTCGGCCTCCCAAAGTGCTGGGATTACAGGCATGAGCCAATGCTGAGACAGGAATTGGTTTAAATTACAAACAAATGAACTGAAAAGAATCCCATGTCAGGTGGCACATTGTTGAGCATGAAGGGAAAGCAGTGTTATTCCCTTGCCTACCTAAATTTCTTTCTGCACTGAGCTGCCGCCTTAGACATAAAACACTGGCAGGAAGTAGAAATGATTGTATTACAGTATTAGTGCTTGCATATTAACAGAATTTATTCTAAAATATGCAAGTCACATAAATTGAAAGATTGTCTTGTTAAAGAACAGGGCTGCCCTGCTGAGTCCCAAGATAACAGGAATAGACCTGCCTTCTTATTTCTCAGAAAACAGGAGGCAGCATCTTGGGCTGGAGCAGAGGGGAAGGATTCTGTCTCTAGAATTCCTTTCCTATCTTTCCCTGGCTGACCCTGTCTTACAGATCTTTCCTTGTCTTAAACTGGGCTTCTCCAATGGCATAGCGATTAAGACAGCAATTTTACACTACTTTTTATTACTCAACATCTGACTGCAATATTTATTTTCATATTTGGCATTGGACTTTTATTAGCCTTCCTCCTTGAGGTGTTCAAACAAAGCAGGCAGGAGGACAGGCAGCTCATCTCCTGTGTGGTCAATGTCTCTTGAATAAATGAATGAATGAAAATCTGCATTTATTCATTCATCCATTCCGTGAAAATTTATTGAGTACCTACTGTATACTAGTAAAGAAAACAGGCAAAATTCCTGTCCTAATGGAGCAAACATTCTTTAAATTCAGAAAATTTTAAATAATGATATTAATTTAACAAGTGGAAAGTTCTACGGAGAAAAGTAAAACAGGAAAGGGGAAAGGGAATCCTATAGGAACTGAGTAGCCTAGTTATGGTAGCCATGGAAGCCTTAAATACAGTAGCCAAGGAAGCCCTCACTAAGGAGACATTTGAGCAAAGACTTGAAAGAGGTGAGAGAGAGAGAGAGCCTTGTTGACTTCTGAGGGAGAGAGCTCCAGGTGGAGACAATAGGGGTAGAGCAGAACCCTGAGGTAAAAGCTTGCCTATGGGAGAAACAGCCTGGGGCCCGGAGGCTGAGAATATAAAAAGGACAAAAAGGAAGAGGCTCAGACCATGGAAAGGACTCGGGCATTTATTCTAAATGAGGCAGATCAATCGCTTGCTTTTTCAGGTTTTCAAGAGTCTATTAGGGCATGACCTGTTCAATGGCTTTAACCCCTCATTCCGATAAAACGAGTTGACCCTACATGTCTGTTATTCTTTCATTGTCTATGTTTAATTTTCTGATGCATGAAATAGGAATAACACCTAGCTTTCCTTACAGAGGTGGTTGAAGGGATCCAATGACCATCAATATGGAAGCATAAATTTAGACTGTTCAATAAATTGGCAACACAACTATTTCAACAACTTTCTATTAAGTGCCTACTATGGGGAAGGCAAATTAAACCTTTGTGTAAGAGAGGAAGGAAAAAAGATAAAAGAATTGGAAGGGGCTGGAAAGGAAAGCAAAACCAGTAAGATGGGGGAGGAGGAATAAGAAAAGGGAAAGAAAGGTGATAGTTTCATGTGTCTAACCACAGGGATAAAGAGCGTGGCATTTGGGGTTGGATTGACCTGGTTTCAAATCTCAGATAGTCCACCTACTGGCTGTGTGACCTGGAGTAAGTCCCCACTTTGAGCCTATTTCCCTCTATGTAAAATTGGGGTTTGACATCTGCCTTATGGCACATTGTCAGGATTAAAAGAGAGATTGCACTAAATACCTAGCACAATGCCAGCACTAATTTACTTAGTAAATATTAACTACCTTCTTATTATAATTGTCATCATCATCAGCAGCAGCAGCAGCATCCCAGGAGGACAGGAAACTAGAAGCAGCTCTGCATTTTCTGACAGGGGAAGATAAAAGTAGGAATAGGAAATGCCTCTTGAATGGAAACTCAATTGAGTTTAGAATTCATTTTAAAAGCAGCTGACTGTAAGATTATGCACTGGGACTCAATTTATTACATGAATTGGGATGAGCCTAAAGGGACATCTTTTCAGTAATTCAAATCCCCAGGAAGTTGGCTTAGCTGGGAAACAGGAGTTATCCTGGAGAATATATATCTATAGGAAAGAACATAGAATTCTGGAAAAACTTGGTGATGATTCCAAATTAAAAACAAATATAGAAGACCTTGTGTGACTTGGATAAAGACTGTAATGTATTAGCAGTTCCAGGAAAAGTAAAAGACAGATTTGGAACTGAGCAATACAAAAATGAAATAGTGCTATGCCAAGGAAGAAGGGATTGAGTTAATCAGCTGCCAAGTGCCTTTCCATTTGGGACAGACAACGATTGTAGCTGGCAGCAGGAACAGCCAAAGACTTGATATACATGAATCTCACAAAATTGTCTGAATATATTTTGTTCTGTAATGGGCATCTGCCACTTTTTTGTTTGTCTGGTGTTCCTTACTGCAGAAAACTGCCCCTCCCGAACTCCAAATCATTCTCTTGAGTCTATGGATCAAAGGGCCCTGCTTCTCCCACTACCCTGTGATCCAGGGTGTTCAATCAGAACACCCCATTTCCTGAGTCACAGTGATTGGTCCAGAGGAATACACATGACCCAAGCATGGCCAATCAGTGCTCTCTGGAGTAATTGTCATGGATGCTGGCCGTTGAGTTTCTCCTTTTGAGACTGCTAGCTGTCAGTACCATACAACCCTGGAGCTACCTGAAGCCTTCTTGCCACCATGTGGAACAAGACTAAACATCAGGTCCAAACCTAGGCAAAAAGAATCAAAAGTGAGGGGAGAGGGGAAATGAGAGAGCGGAGAGGGCGGAGGGGAGATTTTGCTACTTTAACTCGAATTGGGATTCTTTTCATTTGATTAAGAAAAGCATGAAAGATAAAGCTGATTAGGGAAGGACCCTGCTCTGGCCTCTGGATTTCACCTTTTCTAAATCATTGTGATCCTGAGGATTTGCATGAATGGAATACTTTGGGTCTAATATGATTTATTGACTTGTGTTTTACTTGTATTTTCATCAGTAAATATTTCTGAATATATCTCTAAAAGATAAAGACTCTTAAAAATACCCATGATACCATGATCACCCCTAAAAGAATGGTGAACAGTAATTCCTTAATGTCATAAAACTCCCAGTTAATGTTCAAATTTTGGATTTGTACACAAGATTTAAAGTCAAGCTGAAAAAAAAAATGTGAAAGAAATGAAGACTTTAACCAAGTGATAAAAGCAATTTGTGGCAACCTAAATAGGGTACACAAATCTCCACCTAGAAAAGATAAGATAATTAATGTTTTAAGGTGTTATAAAAGATTTGGGAAAAAGTATAATGTGGGGTTAAAATGGCCAGGAGACATTGTCTGCCAAATCAATCCCAACAAAAAGACAGGATCTTGGCCCCTCATGGACACAGCATATAGAAAAAGACTCAGTGTGTCTGTCTGTGGCTTGGGCAGAATCATTCTAGAAGTTTGTAGCCTATGAACCATGTTTATCTTAAACATCTGATAAATAAGTAACTATATCACAGCCCCAGGTCTTTCAACCGCGTAACCTCAGCCCAGCTGGGATGTAAAACTGCTCCCCTTCATAGGGAAATGATTTTACAATTATAGGAGTGCTAAAAATTGAACATAAAGATCATGAAGTAAATTGGACCCACCCAAAGCATTAATACTGTTTAATAGGTTTAGAAACAGAAGTTATAATTTTTGTGTTTAAAGTATTAGTAATGTTTAATAAAACCTAACATTAGGAAATCTGACAAATTGATCTTCATAACTTCTATGTGAAATTTATAATCAATTTTATTCTCATTATCTTAAGTCACAGAGTTGATAATTTGATAATGTTTATAGACAGTATTTGAATATTTTGACTCATTATGGTTTTAAGGGTGAATTATGAGATTTACAATTTCTTTGATTTTGCCTTTTGAGGCTTAAGTTGGCCTTGTGAGGCAACTCAGTTGCTTGATATAATAAATTAGAAGTGTTTTTAAAAATTTAGGGGAACTTAATTGATGGCTTATTACTATGACTATAAAGGATTTTAATCCGCTAAAATTGAATTAAATAAGTGGAAGGATGATTTCAAATTATGTAAAAATTACTTAGTTTATAAGTAAAATCAAAATCACAAAGTGAACTTAAAGTCCTAAGAAAATTATAGTTTCGTTTGCAACTTAAATTAATTAAATGTTATTTTAATATTCAAATACCTATACATGGTTCCTTTCTATGCACAAAAGCCTCCACTTCCCACTTTAAAAACACATCAACACACATGGTAAGGAAAATCACTATGCATATAGAAGCCCAGGATGCAACAGCACTTCCTGTATAGTAAGAAATGTGTGGTCTTTGTGGGGCATAAGGTAATGCAAACTACATAAAAATATGCACCACACGCAATGCTGATCCAGGCAGACCAGCTTCCAGGAACTAAAATAAAAGCAAAGAATCAACAACTGAGGCGATAATTACCAAACAACCATTCATTCATTTATTGTTTTCTTTTATTCAACAGATATTTACTGAATGTGTACTACATGTCAGGCTCTATTTTAACAGTTTAAGATATAGCTGAAGAAAGGAAAATATAGATTACAGGTTGGATGTGAAAAAGGCAAAAAAGAGTAGATAAAGTAATTGAGAATGAAGGACAGCTGCCCGATGAAGGCAGCTTTGATAGAGGAAAAAGCAGCTTGTCTTGTCGCAGATTCTTAGTTTTGCCCTATGTCAGCAAACATGGAACATAAGAAGCAAGAACATCTCAAGACATCCACTGAAGGAAGAAGAGGAGAAAATAAAATAAGAAGACAAAAACGACAATAACGTATTCAGCAATAATAGATGGCAGACACAAAAGAAGGAACATTGGAGGGAAAAAGTAGTAGGGCCTGAAACAAGTGGCAGAGGTGGACAGCACAGTCATCACCCAAAACAAAAGCAAGTGGAGGTGGGGAGTTCAAACACAGTCTTATGGAACTGATTAAAATGACATAAATATGGGTAAAACACAGCATAAAGTAGGAACAGGCAGTATAAAAAATAAGAAGAAAAAAGTAAAAACCCCCAAAGGGCTAAACCTATGGAATTCTGAGAAGAAAATATGGATATGAGTTGAGACACAAGAAAGAACATTGAATACTAGCAAATCTTATTCCAAAGGACTGCGGTCGGGATCTTCCTTTTGATCTGGAAGGGAGACTCATGGTACAGTTGCAGCTCGAGAGGAGAGGCACACAGTCAAGCCACAGAGGAAGGAGATGTGCTTTTGGGAAGTCCTGATGACCACACCCCTGGCCGGGCCTTCCAGTGGTCCATAGGCTGCCAGCCAGAGAAATGGAATGAGTAATGAGAATGATGATAATTGAGGAGAGCAGTTGTGTTCTGATTATTTAAAAACTATTCCTAATATACAAGTAAAATATTCATTCTAGAAAAATTCTTTGAAAGAAAGATAATCGAATCAAATATGAGTAAAAGAAAATTCACGATCCTAAACAGCGATGTTTCTGAGGGAGAAAATGCCACTGACATTTCTAATTAGTCATTTGAAGTTTTTGCAGGAACTGCCCACCCAGTCCCATCCCCCCCCGCTAAAGTTGGCAGTGATATTCCATATACAGGACAGGTAGTAAACAGGACTGCCAAGTACCAATCAAGAATAAATATTTCAATCAGCTAATGCAAGATATTCTCTATGAAAAATATGATGGCAAGTTCTGTAAAGGGATCCTCTCAAGTATTCATCACACTACTGATTATCACATGCATAAGAGGAAACAACCGCAGATAAGGAAAAGAACCATCCCACAGGATTAAGGGGAACAGTATCAAGTTCTTACACATGACTGGAAAAGGGCTTACTTTCATCAGCCAGACTAGAAAATCTCCTAATTCATGAATCACTTGGTAGAGTACTCAAAGAAATCTTGCCTCAGTAGTGGAGCATAATTAGCCCTAAACTAAACACTTCTCTGGTCCTGATTAACAAATCATAAAGGTTTGATCCCCAAACACAAACTGTTTCCAAACAACTCAACTGCTCAAGAATATTTATAGAAATAAAAAAATTCAACACTCAATAGGAAAAAAATATACAATGTCTGGCATACAATAAAAAAATGACCAGGAAGGCAAAGAAGCAGTAAAACATGACCATAATGAAGGGAAAACAATCAACTGAAACCAAACCAAACCTGAGGCAGATGTTAAAATTAACAAACAAGGATATTAAAACAGCTATTACAGCTATATATGTTCAAAAACTTAAGTAGAGACACTAAAAGATATTTAAAATGTATACATCAAACTTCTAGAAATGAAAAAATATGTTTGAGATTAAATGTATTTTAATGTATCCCTTTATCTCAAAATACAGTCAAATTGGGGGTTAAGGTTTTGCCATATGAATTTTGGAGAGACACAATTCAGTCCATAGCAGCATGGTGTACCTTTTCCAACCTTTTACATTTAACCATTTTTTTTTTTTTTAGTATGGGAAGTATTTTTCTTTTATAGGAAGAATAGAGTTGAATTTTGCTTTTTTATGCAATCCTGACAATCTCAACTGGGGGAGTCAAAATAACGTGTGTGTGTGTGTGTGTGTGTGTGTGTGCGCGCGTGTGTGTGTATCCATCAAAGTTGTAGTTAATAAACCAACAGAGAAGATAAAATGAGTTAATAAAAATAATCCAAAAGAAGGCAGAAAAAGTACAAAGGGAGAACAAATAACACTTGGAATAAATAGAAAGCAGATAGCAAGGTGACAAATTTAAACCTTAGCATATCAATAATCACATTAAATGTTATTATTTTGACCCCCCAACTGAGATTGTTAGGACTGGGTAAAAATGCAAAATTCAACTCTACTCTTCCTATAAGAAAAACACTTCACATACTAAAAGAAAATGAGTTATATGTAAAAGGATGGAAAAGATATACCATGCTGCTATGGACTGAACTGTGTCTCTCCAAAATTCATATGATGAAATCTTAACCCCCAATTTGACTGTATTTTGAGATAAGGGCATTAAGGAAGTGATTAAAGTCGAATGAGGATATAAGGGTGGGACTCTAATCCAACAGAACTGGAAAGGAAGAGACACCAGAACTTGCTCTCTTTCTCTCTCTCCCCACCCTGCTCTCTGCTTGCACACAGAGAAAGCTGTGTGAGGACACTACAAGAAGGTAGCCAGTTGCAAGACAAGAAGAGAGACCTCACCAGACACCAATTCTGCTGGCACCTTGATCTTGGACTTCAGTCTTCAGAACTGTGGAAAGATAAATGTCTGTTGTTTAAGTTACCCAGCCTGTGCTGTTTTGTTATGGTAGCCTGAACAGCCATGTTAACATGCTAAGACTAATCAAAAGGAAGCTGAAGTGGCTATATGAATGTCAGAGCAAGAGCAAACAATATTAATATCACTGGGAACAAGGAAGTTCGTTTCATAATGAATAAGGGGTGAATTCATTGAGAGTACGTAACAATCCTAAATGCTTATGTACCTAATAAAATCAATTTAAAATACAGGAAGCAAAAATTCATTTAACGGCAAAGAGAAATAGATGACTCTACAACTATAGACAAATATATCAATACCCCTCAATAATAATAGAACAATATCAGTAAAGATATAGAAGACTTGAACCAAACTACCCACCAACATGACAAATTGGCATAGAACACCTCACCAAACAACAGCTGTATAACACATTTTTTTTTCAAATGCACATGGAACATTAAAATGATAGTCTATATTGTGGACCATAAAACATGTCTCAATATGTATGAATGAATTGAAGCCCAACTGAATATTTCTTCTAACTATAATGGAATTAAATTGGGAATCAATAATAAAAAGTTTTATGGCAAATTCCCAAATACTTGCCAACAAAATAATACACTTCTAAACACCCCCATTGATAAAAGAAGAAATCAAAAGGCATATTAGAAAGTATGCTGAACTAATTGAAAATTTAAAAAATAACATATTGAAATTTGTGGATGGCACTAAAGAAGTACTTCAGGGGAAATTTATAGTACTAAAATTTATAGTACTAGTATTACATGTATAGTACTAAAATTTATAGTACTAGTATTATATTTATAGTATTAAATACCTCCAGTAACGGAGAAGAAATTTCTCAAATCCATGATCTCAGCTTCCCCTTAAGAAGCCAGAAAAAGAAGAAAAAATAAAATGCAAAGTAAGCAGAAGAAAGGAAATAATAAAGATCAGATTGGAATTCAATGAAATAGAAGTCACAAAAACAATAAAGCTTAATGAAGCCAAAAGCTGAATATTAGAGAAGGTCAATAAAAATAATAGGTGTCTAGTCAGACTGATAAGGACAAAAATGGAAAACAGAAATTACTAATATCAGGAATAAAAAAGGTGAAATCACTACAGATGCTATAGATATTAATAGGATAATGAGTATGTTGTGAACAACTTTATGCCAAAATTATTATTTTTTAATTTTCACACTATTGGAAGTTCAAATGCCAAAATTATTGACAACTTTGATGAAATGAAATAATTTTTTAAAACTTTGGGGGGTACATAGTAGGTGTATATATTTATGGGGTACATGAGATGTCATACAGGCATGCAATGTGTGATAATCATATATGGAGAATGGGGAATCCATCCCTTTAAGCATTTATCCTTTGAGTTACAACCAATTGAATTATACTCTTTTAGTTATTTTAAAATGTACAATTAAGTTGTTATTGACTACAGTCACACTGTTCTGCTTTCAAACAGTAGGTCTTATTCATTCTTTCTATTTTTCTATACCCATTAACCACCCCCAAGTCCTCCACAGCCCCCCACTACCCTTCCTAGCCTCTGATAACCATCCTTCTACTCTCTCTGTTTGAGTTCAATCATTTTAATTTTTACATCTCACAGATAAGTGTGATGTTTATCTTTTTGAGCCTGGCTTATTTCACTTAACATAATGATCTCCAGTTTCATCCATTGTTGCAAATGACAGTATCTCTTTCTTTTTGATGACTGAATAGTATTCCATTGTGTATATGTACCACATTTTCTTTATGCATTCATCTGATGATGGTTACTTAGGTTGCTTCAAAATCTTGGCTATTGTGAACAGGGCTGCAACAAACATGGGAGTGTAGATATCTCTTTGATATACTGATTTCCTTTCTTTGGGATATATACCCAGCAGTGGGATTGCTGGATCATATAGTAGCTCTATTTTTAGCTTTTTGGGGAACCTCCAAACTGTTCTTCATAGTGGATGTACTAATTTACATCCCCACCAACAGTGTAGAAGGGCTCCCTTTTCTCTACATCTTCAACAGCATTTGTTATTGCCTGTCTTTTGGATATAAGCAAATTTAATTGAAGTGAGATGATATCTCATTGTACTTTTGATTTGCATTTCTCTGATGATCAATGATGTTGAGCACTTTTAATTTTTCAAAGGACACAAACCACCAAATTTCGTTTAAAAAGAAAAAGATAATGTGAACAACCCAATATCTGCGAAAGAAATTGGATTTGTAGATAGAAACCTTCCTACAAAGAAAACTCCAGACTCAGGTTCAGTGGAGAATTATATCAAACATTTTGAGAAGGAAATAATATCAATTCTGTATAAACTCTTCCAAAAATTTGAAGACAAGGTAATAACTCGCCACTCATTCTATGTGGTGAGCTAAATACTCTAAATACCAAACAAAGACATGAAAAGAAGTAAAACCACAGAGCAATATATCTCATGAACATAGATGTGAACGTTCAAAACAATATTTTAAGGAATCAAATCCAACAACACATAAAAAGGGTAATACATAATGACTAAGAGGGGCTCATCCTAAGAATGCAAGATTGGTATAATAAAAAATCAATGTAATTTATTAACATATCAAAGAAGAAAAACCATATGATTATATCAGTGGATTTAAAAAAATGACAAAATCCAACAGCCATTCCTGATGAAAATTTATAGTAAACTAAAATAAATGGGAACTTCCTCAACCTGATAAAGGGCATATACAAAAAAGTATAACTAATACCATACCTAATGGCAAAAGACTGAATGCTTTCCTTCTAAGATCAGGAACAAGACAAGGATGCTTGCTCTCAAACTTCTATTCAGTACTGTATCGGAGATTGTGGCCAGTGCAGTCATAGAAGAAAAAGAAATAAAGAGCATCCAGATTGGATAAGAAGTAAGACTGTCTTTCCTTGCCAACAACATGATCGTCTATGTAAAAAAACTGAAGAAATCTATAAAAACAACTTGCAGGACTAATAAGTGAGCTTAGCAATTTCACAGAATATGCCATCAATATGCAAAAATAAATTTTATTTCTTATATTCTGTCAACAAATAATTGGAAAATGAAATTTTAAAAATAACACCATAGGATGAAATTATGAAATATTTAGGAAAAAAATCTAACAAATATAGGCAAGATCTTTTCATTACAAATTACAAAACCGCTGAGAAAAATTAAAGAAGGCCTAAATAAATGGGAGAGATGTACATTGGTATGGGTGAGAAGACTTCATATTGTTAAGATGTCAGTTCCTCCTGAATTGATCTACAGACCCAATGCAATCCCAATAAAAATCTCAAAAGGTTTGTTTGTAGAAATCAACAAGCTGATTCTACAATTCATATGGAAATGCAAAGGACCTATAAGAGCCAAAACAGGCTGGGCACAGTGGCTTAAGCCTGTAATCCCAGCACTTTGGGAGGCTGAGCCAGGCAGATCACCTGAGGTCAGGAGTTCGTGAGTAGCCTGGCCAGCATGGTGAAACCCCATCTCTACTAAAAATACACACACACACACACACACACACACACACACACACACACACACAATTAGCCAGGCATGGTGGCTTACGCCTGTAATCCCAGCTACTAGGGAGGCTGAGACAGGAGAATTGCTGGAACCCAGGAGGCAGAGGCTGCAGTGAGCTGAGATTGCGCCACAGCATTCCAGCCTGGGAAACAGAGCAAGACTCCATCTCAAAAAAAAAAAAAAAAAAAAAAAAAGAGCCAAAACAATTTTGACAAAGAAAAGCAAAGTTGGAGAACTAACTGTGTACTTTCAAGGCTTATTATAAGACTAATCAATACAGTCTGATATTAGAATCAAGATAAACAAATATATCAATGGAACAAAATAGAGTCCATAAATAGACCAACACATATTTCAGCAACTGATGTTTGGCAAAAGTACAAAGGCAATTTGGTGAAGAAAGGAGAGATTCAACAAATGGCATTGGAACAATTGAATACATGTATGCAAAAAAAATTAATTTTGTTTCAACCACACACAAGGATTAGCTTTAAACTGATCACAGACTTCAATACAAAACCTAACACTAAACCCAATAGAAAATCTTTGTGATCATAGGTTATGCAAATATTTGGTAAACATAACACCCAAGCATAATCCATGAAAGGAAAAAAGGTAAAGATTGAGCCTCACCAAAATAAAAAATTTCTATTCTTCAGAAGGCACTGTTAAAAGAATAAAAAGTCAAGCTACAGATTGGAAGAAAACATTTGTAAATCATATCTTTAATGAAAGCTTTGTATCCAAAATACATAAAGAAAACTGAAATCTCAATAAAAAGAAAAAAAAACAATTTTTTAAACGACCAAAATATCTGAACAGATACTTTTCCATAAAGATATACAGATGACAAACAAAAACATGAGAAGATAGTCAATATAAATAGTCACCAAGGAAATGTAAAATAAGACTGCAATAAGATACCACAACATAGCTGTCAGAATGGCTGATAGAGTTGACTGCCAAGATAAGGATGTGGAGAAACTGGAATTCTCATATACTGTAAAACACTTTGGAAAACAGTTTGACAGTTTCTTAAAAATTTAAACATATGCCTATCATATAATCCAGCCATTCCACTTCTAAGTATTTATCCCAAAGAAATGAAATCCCAGCCCATACCAAGACTTGTACATGAAGGATCACAGCAGTTCTATTTGTAATAGCCAAAAACTGGAAAAAGCAAAACAAAAACCAGATTTCCATCAACAAGTAAATTTGTTAATTGTGGTTTATCCACAGAATGAATGTATTGTTACACAGTATAGTGTGAATAATCTCAAAATAATTATGCTGAATGAAAGAAGTCAGATGTAAGAGTACATACTATATGATTTCATTGATATAAAATTCTAGGAAATGCAAGCCAATTTATTGTCACATAAGCAGAACGGTGGTTGCCTGAGATTGGGGGAGTGGGAAGAGGTAGGAAGAAGAGATTATCAAGGTGCATGAAGAAACTTTAGAGCATGATGGTTGGTGGTTATGTTCATCATCTTGATTACTGTGATAGTTTCAGGGGTGTGTACCTAAGTCCAAAATGTATCAAACTGTTCACTTTAAATATGTGCAGTTTATTGTATGTCAATTACACCTCAGTAAAATTGGTAAAAACTAAATAAAAGTAGTGCTTGCATATGAATTTTTAAAAACCCTTAAAATAGGACAAAATAGAAATTTCTCTGAAGATTGCTTCCATAACACTGAATATGGTTATGCCTCTCTTTACTAACTTGTCAAGTTTAAACATTCGTTGATCTCTCATTTTAAAAAAATTGAAAAAATAAATTTTCTCAAGCTACTACCTCCCTTTTCCGATCTCTGCCCATTAAATTTTTATTTTTTAACTTTTTCAATGTTTTGTGTTGTATTTTCATTTAACTTTGTACCTGACAAAGAATTGTATATATTTATCATGTCAATATGTTGTTTTAAAATATGTATATATTGTGAAATAGCTAAATTGAGCAAATTAACATATGCATTAGCTCACATACTTAACATTTTTATGGTGACAACACTTAAAACCTATTCTCTTAGAGCAACTTTCAAGAATATAAAACATTGTTATTAACTATAGCCACAATATTGTACAATAGATCTCCTGAATGTATTCCTCCTGTCTAACTGAAACCTTGTATCCTTTGACCAACATCTTCCTAATCCCCCTCCCCGCATTTTCTTTACCCATTCATCCACTGATGGACACTTACATTGATTTCATTTCTTGGATACTGTAAATAATGCTGCAGTGAACATGAAAGTGCAGATGTCTCTTTGGCATACTTATCTCATCTTCTTTGCATATATACCCAGAAATCCCATTTCTGGGTAATATGTAGATTTATTTTTAATTTTCTGAGGAACCTCCAGACTGTTTTCCATAATCAATGTACTAATTTACTTTCCCACCAGCAGGGTACAAGGGTTCCCTTTTCTCCAGATGTTTAGTTGTTTTCCATCATCATCATCATCATCGTTATCATCGGTAACATATGATGATATAGAATAATTTTTTATGTGCCAAAGACTGTTCTAAGCACTTTATATATATCAACTGTTTTTATTTTCAAATAACTTTGTGAAATATTAACTATTTATTTTCAATTTTTGCTGAGAAAACCAAGGCACAGATAAGCAATTTGCCCAAATTGAAGTGTGTGGCAAAAATTCAAACGCAGGTGTTCTGGCTCCAGGATCCATGCTCTTAACGACTATGTTATAGTGCCTCAGTGTGATATCACTACAATTAACAAATTTATATAAGATACTTGAAACCCTATTTTGACTTCTCAAATGTAGACACAATATCTCTTAATTCTTTTTATTTCTGATGAAAAGAATCCAACATCATTACATCTTGTTCCTTTGCTCCTTCCCTCTCTCCTAACCTCCATTCCAGTGTACTATTGTTTTCACACTTGTCCTATAACTACAATTAATCTTTGATGCATTGTCTATAAATTGATTTTTTAAACTGAAAACTGAAAAGTAGCATTCATAATATTCGTAGGGAGATCATTGTTCACTGCAGAACCAAGCACAGCTGTGCCCTTGAGCCTATAGAGGAGACGTAACTCTTGTCAATAAACCTTTGCTATTGGAAGAAGAAAATTACTTCACAGTTTGGAGAGTGTTTGGATGATACCTTATCACAATGACCTACCATGCCTTTGCCTTGTCACAAGACCACTCAGCTTCTCAGTCATTCAATTTATAGAAGAAATCCATGTCCTCCTGAAAGAGATTCTTCACAGAGCATCTGACTTCTGGTTCTAATTCAGACTGATGGCTTTCTAGGCCTGCCTCAAGGTTGTCATCCTGGAATTATATTTCATTACAATCTTGGGTGAGATCCACTGTTCCTTAGAGGCCATGGCTTCCTCCTACTTGGATTCTTTTTTGTTTTGCTTCAGTAATTCTTTCAGAAATAGTCTGTGGGTGGTAAATGGTCTGAGTTCTTGCATGCTTGAAAATGCCTCACTCTTGATCGATTGATAGTTTGGCTAAGTAGAGAATTTTAGGTTCAAAAAACTTTATTTTACACATTTTGAAGGCATGCTTCTTGTTTTGTTTTTCTTAGCATTTACAGTTGCTGATGATCTATCTAATACCAATTGGATTCTCACTGAGTAATCTATTCTTTTGGCTTTTAGACTCTTCCCTTTATTCTCAATATCTAAAATGTCACAAGAATGTGCCTTGGGCTAAGTTTGTTCATTCATCCTATTTTGCATTCTCTAGGGTTCTTACAATCTCAAGTCCTATTTCCTCACTTATGGAAAATTCTCTCTTATTCTTTGTTTTGTCTCTTTCTGAACATCCCTTTGGATGCTTCTCTAATCTCTTCACTTTTCTCCCACATTTTCCATCCTTTATCTTTTTGCACTACATTTAGAGCAGTTTCTTCAACTTTTTCTCCCAGGTCTTCCCTTGAATTTCTAACTTTAACAATTACTTTTTCATTTTAATAACTATTTATTTTGTTTTAGTTGTTCTTTCTTAGCAATCTAATTTTGCACTAAAAATGCTTTCTCTCGACTTTGTTTCCATGAGGATACTACATAGAATAAAGAATTTTCTATGTCCTGAATTATCTATTTCCTCCAGAGTCAGGGTATTTTTTCTCTCAACCTGCTCTTTTGTCCTCATTTTTCTTCAGGTTTTCATAATCCTTGGCTATAGATTCATACCTACAACTGAGGTAAGTCACCTCATTCAATGCAGATAGCTCGGCCTTGTCCAGCTCTCTCTTGTCTACACAAGTGGCTGTCACTGGCAGCCTTTGCTTTAGACCTTGTAGTGAAAGAAGAGGAGGTTGGAGGTCCCCCTCCCTACTTCTCCCACTTCCCAGCAAAAGTGGGAAGAAGTTTACTCAGATGAGGCATCACCCCAACTAGGGCTCCTTCTCACGAAGACTATTCAATTATTTTAAATATTAGTCCTCTGGTTTTAGCCTGAGCATGTGATGCAGGGAAGGAGAACATGGACTATGACTCACGCAGTTATTCCACAGTTGATTTCTTTCCAACTCTCCTTTCATACTCCAAGTGTTGAGCTTCTCTCTGGGTCTGTTGCCAGGAAAAATAGCTCTAGCCTCTACTGCAGCCTTCTCCTGTGAATGTGATTTAAGCTGTTAATACAATTCCAAGTATTCCCACTTTCAAGAAACTTATCTATATCCCTAGTTCCTGATGCCCTTTCTTCTGTACCGAGTAGTCTTTAATTTATTACCCTTAGTTCTTCTTTGCTGACATTTCTATGAGATTTAAAGTAGAAAGGAGATATGTGCTGTGTCTGCCATCTTGAATGAGAATTCTCTTTGCCTCTTTGGACATCTTTGTGCTTTTCTCATTTTGAGGCAAAAGACTCCATATAGCTTCTTCTCAAGGCCATAGGACAATACAAACAATTCCTTAATTTATCTTCTACTTGTCAGCTCTCCAAATATTTGAAACTAGTTTTATATTCTCCTATGGTGTCCAGGATAAATATTTCTAATTCCACTAACCATACCTCACTGAAATTTTGGTACTATCATTCCAATCATTTTCTTCTGAACTTTCCCCACCTTCTTAAATAATTCAATGCAATACCTAAGGTACTAATGCTCGAAACTACTTCAGAGTAACCTAGTCTTCCCTACTACATCACATACACACAATGGCCAGCTACTTCCTTCCCTTCCCTAGGCAAATAAAATTAATATTACATCTCTACCAGCTGCTGTGAAAACTCTATGCAATGGCGACATATTTAAAAGCCATGAAATTATGAGAAAATAGAATTTCTGTCCGAGAATTTCCAGGCCCCCTAGCATAACTTCTAACTTGTACATAATTACTTTATCACAGAAATAAACGTTATTCAAAAATTCTTAGTTTTAGTCACTTTGGAAAGAATAATACTATGTGTTAAGAAAGAAATTTGGGATAACTGTTCCTAAGCTGATTAAAGTATGCAGTTGAAGCCACTATATACATATATACATATATTTTTTTCTTCAGTTATTTGAACTGGAACTCCAAAACTCCAACACATTTCCCATTTCTCATGAGCAAAAATGAACACTTTTCTAAGAGCCTCACATTATTGTAAAATTGCCACTAATTAAAATGTGTGTAATATTTAAAAATCAATAAAAAGAGGGTAAAGGTAAGTATTATATCCACCTAAAACAGTATCACTATAGTGACATCCCTTTATAACAACGTTTAAGAAAATTAAATAAAATATTGTCTTACAAAGTTACATGGTACAGTTCTCAACTAACACAAAGATTTTTCTAATACGTGTAGCTTCCTTGGAATTTTCTTTGCCCCAGTTCCTTGGAGAGACTACTTGTAAACCCCAAAAGAAAAAGGTTTTTTAATATGTGTAGGGAAAGATTTATTTCAGATGTATTTTTAAAACGAGATATTTAATAGGAATTTAAAAGATGTTTTCAAAATCTACATATTTGTTTATCTGTTGAAAAGAATTAAGAAACTATTTCACGCTAAGCACTAGTGATTTATTAATATAATGAAAAAACTTTCAGTCTCTATTCTCATAGATCTTGCACAGGTGAAAGATATATTGATTCAAATTTGTTAAAGCACTTTTTTTTCTACACTTTGTTTAAGGGAGATTTAAATGCGCACCAAATATATGCCGGCCTGGAGAAGGCAAAAAGCCTGGCAGCGGCCGGGCGTGGGGGCTCACACCTGTAATCCCAGCACTTTGGGAGGCCGAGGCGGGCGGATCACAAGGTCGGGAGATCGAGACCATCCTGGCTAACACGGTGAAACCCCGTCTCTACTAAAAAAATACAAAAAATTAGCCGGGTGTGGTGGCGGCCTGTTGTCCCAGCTACTCAGAAGGCTGAGGCAGGAGAATGGCGTGAACCCGGGAGGCGGAGCTTGCAGTGAGCCGAGATCGCGCCACTGCACTCCAGCCTGGGCGACAGAGTGAGACTCCGTCTCAAAAAAAAAAAAAAAAAAAAAAAAAAAGCCTAGCATCTTTTCCATTCTCTGGGTCCAATGCACTGTGTCAATAACACTTGTGCAGTGTTGGCTATGAAGATTCAGCAGTGAAAATTTAGTTGGAAGTTAAGAATACACCTCAGGAAAAAATTATTTCATTACCCCATTCTTATTTTCTCTGATCAATGAGAATTTGGAGACCAGACATTCCCGTTTCTACAGTTGCATGGCGACACCTGCATGCCCAGTATTGGTGGTCCTGTTGAATCTCCTACTTGTAATACTGGGTCTCCTGCAAGCCTCGTAAAATGCATGCTCTGCCCTGGACAGCCATCTTTAGTTCACAGGGCACACCTGCTCATTCACACTTCCTTTCCTTTGCCTGAAATGCACTTGCTATTCTCATTTACCTGGAGTCTTCTTACTTCTGTTTCAAGGCTCAGCTCAAACACTGCTTCCTCGGGGAAGCCTTCACTGACTCCCGGGGTGGTGAGTCAGCTCAGTGGCCTTGTAGCAACAACTGTGAGAAAAGACAGAGCAGGAAATGGATCTCGGCTCTAGTTCTTACCAGATTTGTAGTTATGTAAACTTTCTGAATCTTAGTTTTTCCCATCTATAAAATACAGATACTTACCTTGCAGGGCTGTTTTGAGGATGAAATGCAATGGTGAAGATAAAGTCCCTACACAGAGAGCTTGGCATGACAGCACACAGTGTTTTCTATCCTCCTTGTTTTTAGCCACACCTTTGAAAGGCAGGAACTTAAAATCTCATGCTTAGATCCACCATGGTCTCTATTATGGAAATCATTTGGAAAACAATAATATGAAGTTAAAATTAAAGCCAGCATTATTAATCAAAGCTTGTTAAAGATTTTCCAATTATTTACAAAGCTCTTTCATGTAAAGTATGACTATGAAATAATTAGAATGATCTTTTACTTGAAATGTATACAAGCAATACTTTCAAAGATGCTGATCAAAAGCCTCAGCACTCTGTGTGAGAACCTATAAATTTTACATAGAGGTCAATGCTATATTCTTAGCAATCACATCTGCTCTTTTACCTACTTTACAAACTCAGAGGTAGGCAGGAAGTACACAGTACACCGATAGCAAAGATTCCCAGGGACAATAACAATATAAAAACAATAACTTTTTTTTTTTTTGAGACGGAGTCTCGCTCTGTCCCCCAGGCTGGAGTGCAGTGGTGCAATCTCAGTTCACTGCAACCTCCACCTCCCAGGTTCAAGTGATTCTCCTGCCTCAGCCTCCTGAGTAGCTGGGATTACAAGCATGTGCCACCATGTTTGGCTGATTTTTGTATTTTTAGTAGAGACAAGGTTTCACTATGTTGGCCAGGCTGGTCTCAAACTCCTGACCTCGTGATCCGCCCGCCTCAGCCTCCCAAAGTGCTGGGATTACAGGTGTGAGCCACCACGCCGGGCCAGCAATAACTTTTGTATTTTATAAGAATTTGCATTACTTCAAAGTCTTTCACTCATGTCTTAAACATTCCACAAACTTTCATTACCCCTCACAACATCCCTGAGGCAGGTCAGTAGTGCTCAGTTGTCCCAGTTTCCAGAAGTGTATGCAAAAGTCCTTCAACATCAGTATAACAGAGTAACAGAGTGATGCTGGGTGTGGTTTTTTTGTTTGTTTGTTTAAATAGGAGGTCAGGAAGATGGAATACTCCTCAACAGGTGAGAAGCTGTTATGCCTTTCCAAGTAGTATTTGTTTCCCATGGGCTATATGTTTTTCGTCAACATTTTTACTCTGTTTCAAGAAATTTGGGAAACATAAGTGCCTTACTCACTCACTCACTCATTCTGGTTAAAAACAGACTTTCAAGTGTGAATCCTTGGTTCAATTCCAACTCTACCACCTTTTAGCTATGAGGCCTTGGATGAGTTACTTCCTCTGTGTTATGGACTGAATGTATGTATCCCTCCAAAATTCATATGTTAAAGCCCTGTCCCCACTGTGATGGTATTAGGAAGTGGGACTTTTGGGAGGTAATTCTGTTTAGATGAGGTCATGAGGGTGGGAACCCAATGATGGGATTAATGTCCTTATAAGATGAGCAAGAGACCACACTCCCTCTATTTCCATCATGTGAAAACACAGCAAGAAGGCAGCTGTCTGAAAGCCAGGAGGAGGGCGCTCGCCAGAACCGAATTTGCCAGCACCTTGATCTTGGAGTTCCCTGCTTTCAGACCTGTGAGAAATAAATGTTTGTTGTTTAAGCCACCCAGTGTATGATATTTTGTTATAGCAGTCCTAGCTAAGACACTCTGTCTATGGTTTAGCTTCCCCATCTGTAAAATGGGGATAACAATAGTACCTGCATCAGAGGGCTATAGGGAGCAGTGCCTGGCACATAATTAGTGATCCTAATTATTAGGAACTATTCTTGTTAGCTCTTCTTCCTATTCTAGGCACTGAGATGCAATGATGAACAATGGTACTCAAAAGATATTTAGCAGATGAATAATGCAAAACCATAATACAGTGAAACCATAAATATAGGTTTTGGATACCCAGGTGGTTTTGATGAATGACTGATGTCAGAGGAGAAAAATTTAAACATTCATATGAGTAAGCCTCAACAACAGGCTCATTTGCCCAACAGCAGAAATTTTAAAAAATGAAATTATTTGCCTAATATCACAAAAGACAACCCAATGAAAGTAAGCCAAGTAGCTTTGTGCCCAAGTGTTACTTTTTCAACTTGGCTGTAGTATGCATCCCTTTTTGTAAGCTTATAAACTTTATTTAATTGTCAGCCAAATACACTGACTCTCCAATGAGGTCATATTTGGAAATATATGTATCAACATTTAAACAACTCAAAACCATAAGAAAATCTTAAATACTTCAGCCAAATTCTGTCTCAGAATTGAAACGTGTGATGTAAAAATTAGGGGAAGGCATATTATGAATTGGATCATTGTGTTATGCTACCTTTTATATATAATGAGTACAGAGTACAGGCATTCAGGATACCGTCACTAAAACCGTTTGCAGCACAAACCAGTTCTAACCACTGCTGAAAGTTCTAACACTACTAAAAAATACTCAAGAGAGTATAACTACAATATTTACATCTGCCTACAAGAACATGATCATCTTAAGTCTCAATTTTAAATACTGGTATTTTCTTTTAAAGTTCTTCAAAGTGTGTGTACTGTGAAAAGGGGAATTTAAAAAGAATTACTATCGAAAGCTGCAGGGGAGTTGGAGCAAATTACGGAAGATGTTTAAAGAGTAAATGTAAGTAATTGATACAAAGTGAAAATAGCACAGAGGGCTAAGGAACAGAGAGAGGCTGGAGGGAGAAAATTACTTCCAATTGAGAAAAGGAGAATGTGTGCATTTGACTATGCACTCTCTTCCTTTTTATTTTTCCAGAGATGATAAAATATTAGGAACTGTGAGTATTTCAAAAGTTAATTGGTATTAAGAAAGGCCTTTTCAGAGATCAGCACAGGTAATACTGTATTTACTGTGAAGGAAATTAAGGGTTGGTTTATTTAATAACTAATAAAAATGGATTGTTGACAAGAGAGAATAGAAAATCCAGAGAGAACAGTGAAGTCTTTTTACAAAATACAGTAATGGAAAGCTGCCTTCAATGGCTGTGAGTCCTGAAACCACAAATGGTTTCTCAAAATCTCTGAACAAGCCACACACACAATATAGTACAATACACCACACACACACACACACACACACACACACACAAAAGCTCTTTCTCTTTCTCTCTCAAAAGTAATGATTATAAAGGTGAGAATTAGCTATTACTCAAAAGTTCCTTTGCAGGTAGGTATTACGTTACCCTCAATTTTGCTTTATTTAAATAGCGAATTAAATTTAAATACAGAGTTCTTTAATATTTTTGCTTCTGGTGGGTTTTGGTTTTGGCAAAGAAAGAAAAATAAACTGAAAGGGCAAATTTGTGCTCTTTTTTATTCCATTTACTCAGTGTTCTCATAGTGGCAACTTATAGGGGCTACAGATAGAATAAAATTTGTCATTTTATTGTTCCCTATATCAATGTTTCTTTCTGGAGGAAATGAATCCCAAGTATGTGTGTATATCCAAAATATTCATTAAAGTGTTATTAAACAGAAAATATGCCCTAACATGTTTATACTGATTTTCTCTTGATATTGTAATAAATTACCAAAAATGTAGTTGTTTAAAATAATGTGAATTGATTATCTTACAGTGTTTTAGGTTAAAGATTCAATACAGTTCTCACTAGGTTACAACCAAGGTGTCAATAGGACTTCATTACCTTTGCCTTCTTCCACTTTTAAGGATTACATTGGACCCACCTAGATAATCCAAGCTCCTCTCCACATCTCAATGTCAGCTGATTAGCAACCTTAATTTCCATCTGCAACTTTAATTCCTCTCTGTTATGTGTACTCAGTGCTCTGGCTACCATAACAAAATACTGCAGGCTGGTGGCTTAAGCAACGGACACTGATTTTCTCACAATTCCGGAGGCTGGAAGTCCAAGATCAAAGTGCCAGCAGGATCTGTTTCTGATGAGGCCTCTCCTTGGTTTGTAGATATCTGCATTCTTGCTGTGTCCTCACATGGTGTTTACTCTGTGCACATGTAGAGAGAACGTGAGCTCTGATGCCTCTTCCTCCTCTTATAAGGACACCAGTCCTATTAGATTAGGACACTGATATGGTTTGGCTGTGTCCACACCCAAATCTCATTTTTCATTCCCACCTGTTGTGGGAGGGACCTGGTAGGAGGTAACTGAATTATGTGGGCAAGTCTTTCTTGTGCTATTCTTGTGATAGTGAATAAGTCTAATGAGATCTGACACGCTCTCTTTGCCTGCCGCCATCCATGTAAGATGTGACTTGCTCCTCCTTGCCTTCCTCCATGATTGTGAGGCCTCCCCAGCCATGTGGAACTGCAAATCCATTAAACCTCTTTTCTTCCTAGTCTCAGGTATGTCTTTATCAGCAGTGTGAAAATGGACTAATACAGTACATTGGTATGGGTAGAGTGGGGCACTGCTGAAAAGGTGCCCGAAAATGTGGAAGCGGCTTCAGAACTGAGTAAAAGGCAGAGGTTGGAACAGTCTGGAGGGCTCAGAAGAAGACAGGAAAATGTGGGAAAGTTTTGAACTTCCTAGAGACTTGTTGGATGGCATTATGCTGATAGCAATATGGACAATAAGGTCCAGGCTGAGGTGGTCTCAGATGGATATGAAGAACTTGTTGGGAACTGGAGCAAAGGTAATGCTTGTTATGTTTTAGCAAAGAGACTGGTGGCATTTTGCCCCTGCCCTAGAGATTTGTGGAAGTTTGAACTTGAGAGAGATGATTTAGGGTATCTGGTGGAAGAAATTTCTAAGCAGCAAAGCATTCAAGAGGTGACCTGGGTGCTATTAAAGGCATTCAGTTTTACAAGGGAGGCAGAGAATAAAAGTTTGGAAAATTTGCAGTCTGACAATGCAATAGAAAAGAAAATCCCATTTACAGAGGAGAAATTCAAGCTGGCTGCAGACATTTGCACAAGCAACGAGGAGGCATATGTTAATCATCAAGACAATGGGGAAAATATCTCCAGGGCATGTCAGAGGTCTTCACAGCAGCCCCTCCCATCACAGGCCTGGAGGCCTAGGAGGAAAAAGTGGTTTCGTGGGCTGGTCCCAGGGTCCCCATGCTGTGTGCAGCCTAGGGATTTGGTGCCCTGTGTCCCAGCCATGGCTGAAAGGGGCCAATGTAGAGCTCAGGCTATGGCTTCAGAGGGTGCAAGCCTCAAGCCTTTGTGGCTTCCACGTGGTGTTCAGCCTGCGAGTGCACAAAAGTCAAGAATTGAGGTTTGGGAACCTGTGTCTAGATTTCAGGAGATGTATGGAAACACCTGGAGATGTCCAGGCAGAAGTTTGCTGCAGGGGCAGGGCCCTCATGGAGAACCTCTGCTAGGGCATGTGGAAGGGAGATGTAGGGTGGGAGCCCCCACACAGAGTACCTACTGTGGCACTGCCTAGTGGAGCTGTGAGAAGAGGGTCACTGTCCTCCAGACCCCAGAATGGTAGATCCACTGACAGCTTGCACTGTGTACCTGAAAAAAGCCACAGACACTCAATGCCAGCCAGTGAAGGCAGCCAGGAGGGAGG
The DNA here is from genome assembly GCF_000001405.40 of Homo sapiens. NCBI lineage: Eukaryota > Metazoa > Chordata > Mammalia > Primates > Hominidae > Homo > Homo sapiens. Next base: position 67,673,225 of record NC_000012.12, on the reverse strand, counting down.
CTGTACCCTGCAAAGCCACAGAGGCAGAGCTGCCCAAGACCATGGAACCCACCTATTACATCAGCATGACCTGGATGTGAGACATGGAGTCAAAGGAGATCATTTTGGAGCTTTAAGATTTGACTGCCCTGCTGGATTTCAAACTTGCATGGGGCCTGTAGCCCCTTTGTTTTGGCCAATTTCTCCCATTTGGAATGGCTATATTTACCCAATGCCTGTACTCCCATTGTATCTAGGAAGTAACTAACTTGCTTTTGATTTTACAGGCTCATAAGCAGAAGGGACTTGACTTGTCTCAGATAAGACTTTGGACTGTTGACTTTTGAGTTAATGCTGAAATGAGTTAAGGCTTTGGGGGACTGTTGGGAAGGCATGATTGTTTTGAAGTGTGAGGACATGAAATTTGGGAGGGGTCAGGAGTGGGATGATATGGTTTGGCTGTGTCTCCACCTAAATCTCATCTTGAATTCCCATGAGTTGTGGGAGGGATGTGGTGGGAGGTAGTTGAATCATGGGGGCAAGTCTTTCTCATGCTGTTCTCGTGACAGTGAATAAGCCTCATGAGATCTGATGGTTTTAAAAAGAGGAGTTCCCTGCACAAGCTCCCTCTGTCTGCCTGCTGCCATCCACATAAGATGTGACTTGCTACTCCTTGCCTTCCTCCATGATTGCGAGGCCTCCCCAGCCATGTGCATCTGTAAGTCCATTAAACCTCTTTTCTTCCCAGTCTTGGGTATGTCTTTATCAGCAGTGTGAAAATGGACTAATACAAACAGCATCCTTACAACCTCATTTAACCTTAATTACTTCCCTAAAGGCCCTATCTCCAAATACAGACACATTGGGGGTTAGGCTTCAACATATGAGTTCTGGGAAAACACAATGCAGTCAAAACATCATGCAACCTAACCTGTTCACATATTCTGAGGATAAGGACATGGACATCTTTGGCCAAGCCATTGTTCTGTCTGCTGTGATGCTGTACTTTGAATTGCAAACCCCTGATGGTGATATGCTCGAGGTCAAATGAGGGAATCATGGTAAGTCTGAGCTCAGACTGGGTGAGCAGGAGGAGGAGAAAGACACTGTGTAGGACAGCTGCTCTTTTGCCTTTTTTCCCAAAGTGGTTATAATAGAAGCTTGGGCCACTTCCAAACAGAGAGCCAACCTTCCTCTCTGGCACTGGTTCACAGAATAGCAACATGAGCGCTTAATCAGAGTAAAAGGTGGAAGTGGCCATGGTGTCAGGGCCTCTAAACCATGGGATTATCAAAATAGCAGCACTGTGGTGGCTCGCAGGTGCCCAGAAGTTAATCTGAACACTATTAAATAGTGTGTGCTAAGCAGATCCTGGTCAGGGGCCTGGGAGTCAAGTACTCCATCCTTGGTTTTAAAATTCTCATTTCAAAATATCAGGATGCATGGATCAGACAAGAAATAAGCGCAATGTACTATTTATTGTAAGGGAGCATGTCTTGAAAAAAGTCCAGAGAGAAGCTGATTCCCAGAGTGGGAAAAACCTCTCATCTTTATGTTCCCTTTTTATCATTCATGAAGGTCACTGGGCTAATCAGCCCATTACTCATCATTTGTGCGTCAGGACACACAAGAATGTAGCCATCTTGATAAAAGGCCTCACTGCTCTCAAAAGGAAATAATTAGCCTAGAGGGTAAGAGACTTGCAGATTCCAAACCTAAAAGGAGATAGGGAGTATCTGAAATAGGAAAACAACTCAACTGCAGCTCCCTTCTACCTTGTCATCCCAGGGAGGCCACCTCTTACTGCTGGCCAGAGGGCTTGTTAATGATGTTTACCCAGAAGTAGCTACCATTCTGATATCACCCAAAAGATCAAGCACTGAAAGTATAAAAGAAAGGAGACTAAGATGATTAAGAAATACTTGCTGTCCTTTTCCCATACCACTGAAGGCATACACACATATGGACAAATATCACATTAAAGAACAAATTAGTAAATTATACTATGGCCGAGTGTGACAGCTCATGCCTATAATCCCAGTACTTTGGGAGGCTGAGGCAGGCGGATCACTTGAGGTCAAGAGTTTGAGACCAGCCTTGCCAACATGGTGAAACTCCGTCTCTACTAAAAGTACAAAAATCAGCCGGACATGTTGCCACATGCTTATAGTCCAAGCTACTTGGGAGGTTGAGCCAGGAGAATCGCTTAAACTCGGGAGGTGGAGGTTGCAGTGAGCCGAGGTCTTGCCACTGCACTCCAGAATGGGTGACAGAGCGAGACTCCATCTCAATAATAATAATAATAATAATAATAATAATAATAATAGGAAGAAGAAGAAGAAGAAGAAGAAGAAGAAGAAGAAGATACAAAAGCATCTGTGCTCTTCATATTATACAGGTTTGTAAAGGAAAAACCCAACAACCTATACATTAACTGAGATCTAGTCTCAGCCATATCCTGAAAACAATGTCCATGTGTCAAGACAAGAATTGAAGCAATGCACACTGAAATAGAAGTCTATTATTCAACCACTAAACTGCCCCTTCCTATGCCTATGGAATTTGCTAATTAGCAATAAGACATTGTTAATCAATTATAGCGTTGTTTTCTGCTGAACCCTGAGGAAACTGCATAATCCTAAGGCAGGGTTCTAGGCAGCCACTACCAAGCATTCAAGGTTGGCACTAGAAATGATACCTATTTGCCTTCCTGGCATATAACATTTCTAATTTCTCCCTCTCCACTGGCTTCTTCTTTACTTCCTCCAACACACATAAGCCTTTATATTCAATAACAAACAGTTGTGGAATGCCTACTGCATGCCAGTGCTGTTTAAGGCAATAGGAAATACAGAGGTAACAAGAACTAGCATAATGTAACTTACACTTATTGAGGGAGACAGACAATAAACAATCATTAAACAGATAAATAAGGTTTTTCCAGACACTGATCAGTGTCTTTTGTAAGACACTTAAAAAAAAAATAAACAGGGTAACGTGACAGAGAAGGACTAGGGGTGGGGGAAATGGGCACTGGTAGAGTGGCCAAGGAAGTACTATCTAAGCAGATAGTGTCAGATCTAAGTGATAAACAGTAAGACACCAACCACACAAGGAGAGAGCGCAGAGGGGTTTCAGCAGAGGGAGCAGGAAGTACTAATGTCCTGAGGCAGGAATGAGACAGACATTCAGGAAACACACAGAAAACAGATGTGGCTGGAATGCACTGAGCCAGGGAAGAATGGAACCAAATGACGTTGGAAAGAAGCAGGAGCCCAATCGCAAAGGGCTTTGAAGGACATGTCAAGGAAATTACCCATGTTATCCTTAGTGTGATGAGAGGTCAGTGGAGAGTTTAAGTAGAAGAAAGTACTAGACTGATTACTTTTGCCTACCTGGAAAAAATACTCACTTGCTCCACCTTTGCTCATCATCTTTCTCTCCATCTCCCCACATTCACGGCCGACGTTCATGAGCGGGCCTGTACCCACCACACCATTTCCTCACCACCAGCCTCCAGGCACTGGGTAATACGTTCCATTTCCTGCACTCTCTCCAAAACTCCTTCTCAAAGCCATCTCAAAGATGCCTTCCTTTGTGCACATCTCTCTTGAACCACCCTCCCCAAGCAATTTACTCACTCACAAACTTTTACTGAGGCCCTGTTTTGTCCCAAACTTTATGTCAGTCCCTGGGGATCGTCCCTTTATGTCAGCAAGAAAGACAGTCCCTGGCCCTCAAGGAACCCAAAGTGTGATAATTAAACCAGCCTGACCACTCAATTCTAAGGTCTAGAAAGTAGTCACTGAGATGAACATGGGAGATGGCAGGATCCTCTCAGTTCATCTGATGAAGGCTGAGTGAGGGAGACAGGCAGGGCAGAGGGAGGAAGCACAGCTACTTGAGACATGGGGACAGCAGGAGTGAGCCAGGCCAAGGAGAGGGCCATATTCCAAGTTGGTGGAAACCAGAAGTGAGAAAGTACCTGGCAAATGTAGGAACTGGTTCACATGGTTCAATAGGCCAGGAAGCAAATTTCCTCCCTATTATTAAAGTGCTCTGTTTACTTAGTCCATAGCAGTTTTCTTTTGGTTTTATTCATTCCTTACAAATGTTTTTCTTTATAATAATGTATTGAGTTTTTAAATATATTTTTAAAATATGGTTATTGTGAAAACTGATGAAAAATATATAAGAAAATTAAAATTAGTATCAGCTACCTGTTAATACTTTGCTGTATTTCTTTCTAATTCTTTTCCCAATGCCATCTCTGCCTCTGCCTTTGCCTGCTTTGGTAGGGAGGACATTCACTTGTGTGCCCCCCTTTTTTTCTTTAATATTACACTGTAAACATGTTGTTCATAATTGATATAATTTATTAAGCAAACCTCTGTTAATAGATACAAGGTTTTTTTCTAAGTTTGTGCTAGTAGATATGATTATTCTTGTACATAACTCTTTGTTTACATCATGGATTCTGATACCAATTTCTGGAAGTAGAATCAACAGGTAAAAATGAATGAGCATTTCTAAAGCTCTTGGTACAGATTACCAAGTGCCCTCCAGAAAGGCTCTGCTAATTATGCCCCAGCAGCATCAAACGAGTGCTTTATATCACTCCACACCCTTGCTAGCAATAAAAATGGTTGTTTAATTAATTGTTGATATTTTGTGGGTTAAAAATAAACTCATGGCTTTAATTTTTATTACTTTGATTTATAATTTATAATTTTTTTGGTCCATTTATGTTGCTCATGTAAATTTTTTGAAGGTATTATTGTCTCTTTTTTCCACTGGAATATTAGCATTTTTCTTACTGGTTTTAAATGTCCTTTATAGATTAATTACATTGCATCTGTAATTTTTACGTAGTCACGCTGTAAAAACACTTTTTTTCAGCCTACATTATTTCAATTACAAAAATAGCAACACAAATGGTATCCTCAGAATCCTGCGTAGCCTTATCCCCACCTCACTTCACTTCTTAAACAGAACTTCTGGTGGAGGACCATTCTTCCATCAAATGATCTCTCTCAACTCCTCCCAGATGGTTAGAAGTCCTCTGTCTCATAGAGTGGCACCATCTCCATATGGCTCCCCTCCAGTTTTTCTCCATAGGAAACCAGAATGATTTTTTTTTTGTTTTTTTTTTAATTTATTGTACATGCATCAATGGCTTCCTGGTGTAATCAGAATAAATTCCCAGCTCCTCCAAATGGTCTGTGTGGCCTTCTCCAAGGTCCGGCATTGCATTTCTGTCCCTCCTTATCCTGCACGAGCTTTCCCCTGGCTCACCAAACTCCAGACTTGGCAAGCCTCCACCCCGTGCTCTGGCCTGCTCTTCAGCTCCTTCCTCCTTCAGAACACCACATCCACGCCACTATGCCAGAGCGGCCTTTGCTGACTTCCCAGTCTGTTATTCTTTCTCACGAATCTAGCTGCTTCTTCTCATGCTGGGCACTGCTTACAAACTATAAACATTTTATGATTGTCTGGTTAACAAGTACCTCCCTTACTAACATGGTATCTTCATACATCACTTGCTTTTTGTTTTTCTTTTCTTTTTTTTTTTTTTGCCAGTGTGTGCCCAATGGGAAGGATGGAGGGAAACAGGGGAGAGGATTCTGCTGCCTTCTCAACTCAGTTCTACTCACCTTGCAGTTAGCAGAGAGATTGCCAGTGTTACCTTTTGGTAAGGGTGATCTTGCTCAACCTCAGCTTAAAGAGGACTTTGTAGGGGCAGTGACATCTGGTCTGGGCTGAATCTCACAGGATGAGGCAGAGATTGGCAAATGCACTCTAGACAGAGACAGCACATGTGTTGTGGCTACAACAACATGGCACATTTGAGAAAAACCACAGGACAAGGCCTACCTTCCGAAGAAATTATTCTCCCTTCTTCACACTGCCACAAACCCAGTCTCTTTGCCCATCCTTTGCATTATGCCAAAAATTATACACGTAGGTGCTCAGTAAATACTGGATGACATACGAATGAATGATTCATGACATCCCTCAGTTAAAGCAATTTGCTTCTCCTAGAATATCCTTTTTCTCTCTCTCAATCTGAATTCCATCAAGTCCTGGCTGGAGACCCACCTTCTGAAAGCTATTATTATCCAAGAGCAACACAAATGACCTGCACTTATTCTGAATTTCATCTTTCAATGTTCTAAACTTAATATTTTCTGTCCAATCTTGTCTTCCTAATTAAACATAATGTCCTCAAAGGCAGGGATTGATCTCCTCCTTCTCCTCCTCTTTCACTTTTTATAATTTTTTTTTTGTTTTGGTAAACTCAAATATGCCAAATCCAAATATACCATCTTAGAGAGTAAAAGTTTAATTTCTATGAAAGGAAGGGAAGAAGAAAGGCAGGGAGGGGGAGAGGGAGTTTGCCTTGCTTGCTCTTGAGCTCCTTCCTCCTTCAGAACACCACATTCAGCCACTAGGCCACAGCAGCCTTTGCTGACCTCCTAGTCTGTTTTTCTTTCTCACGAATCTAGTTGCCTCCCTCTCCCCCTCCCTCCCTTCTTCCCTTCATTCATTTTAGTCTTAATATAAAAACTTAATATGTAAAATCCCCCCACCCCATTTTTATAATCTTTTTAAAATTTAAAATTTCCTGAAAAGAATTTGAATGAATGAATAAACAAGATTCTACTCAAAGGCTTCAAATCTTCAGCAAAAGATAGTATACCAGTGCTTCATACTTTGTAACCAAAGGCATTAATTTGCAACCCTTTCTTTTCTTAAACAAGTAAGATACTGTGATTCCTTTTGATGCAATGTAGCAAACCAGACACAAATAGCAACAACAACTTTTCAGACACAAAGAGACATCACTGTTATTTCTACCTTAATGCAGATGGGCCTGGACTTATGAAAGGGCTACTTCCTGATAAACCCATCCGAAGTTGAAAATGTTGTAAACTGAAAGTGCATTCAATACCAGATAAACCCATCACAAACTCAAAACATTTTAAGTTGACCTATTGTAAATCAGAGAGCATCTGTTTTTCTGTATCCTTATGAGCCCTCAAATCCATTTTCTTTAAATGTCCATCCCCATCCTGTGGGCCAGTCTGCCATATCTTGCAAACACTTCCAGTTGGGCTTCCTTCATCTACTCTTACCCTTCTCAGTACTTTCCTATAAAGACAGCCAGGAAGAGCCAATCTGCTCATGGCATTTCCTCCTCAAAAATCTCTTGGTGGCTTCCTTACTTATAGGGTAAGGACCAAAATCCTTAATAGCACCTACAGGGCTTGGCATGTTCTGGTTCACCTCATCACTTTCGTTTCACACCAAATTCTCTCATTCTCTGGGCTCTGGCCAAGTGGCCCTGCCTTCAGTTGTTCACCTTATTTCCTCTAGCTAGCTACAGGGTCTCTATTCATGCTCTTTGTTCCTCAGCTCAAAAGCTATTTGTTTCCTGGGGAAGCCATCTTTGATCCATACAACATTGCACACACACTCAGCACAACATGCTTTTTCTTCACAGCACTTACTACTTTGCAACTATGCAAAGTATTTGTTGTATAAAATATGTATTTGTTCATATAATTACCCATGTAATGTCTGCCTTCCCAACCAGTCTAAAAACTCCCTGAAAAAGGCACTGTGTGTTTTGTTCAGCATTATATATCCCTAGTGCCTACAAGATTCTGGGCTGTAGGAGGCTTATTTAATAAATATTTGACAAATAAATGCCATCTGCATTTTCTATATATATATTTAAAGCTACCCTAGCCAAAATTCTGATAAACTCAATTTTACAGACAAGGGAAATTAAGTAGGGTATTCCTCTTCAGATAAAAAGATGACAAATTCGCCCAAATGTACTCATACATTTATTTGCTGCTGGTCCACATAAATTGCTTATAATTAGTTACATTTCTCCCAAAACAATTGAAAACAATTCAGTAAGCTTTACTTAAATGATTTGGGGCTTTTCATGGGCTTTTGCTTTGCAAATAGCATACTTCATTTTTACAAATGAAGAAATAGCCTTAATATATAAAACTCCTCAAACTTAGGAGGGGAGATAAATTGGGATAAAAAGCAAGGAAAGACACAATATTTTAGTTTGTAAAATTGGTTTATTTACAAATTGGTATTTTAAAATTGTATTTGAAATTTTTATTTTTATATATTTCCCTGGCAGGCATTCTATATTTTCTTAAATATGGAGGCAAAGGATAGGAAACCTGAGTAAATTTAAGAGATTTACCTGCTGCTACAGTCAGTAAAATTTAACTTTTAATCCCTGAGTATCAGTAAAGTGTCAAAAATAGTATTTTCATACTTTCAAATGTAAAAAAAAATTTAAGAACACAGAAAATAAAGAATGAAGCTACTATAATTAGCCTCTCCACAAATAACAATGAGAAGTCACTCTCTTACAAATTAACTGAGGGTGTGTGCACATGCATTAAGTTATTAGGTGCACTTAGACACTACGATGCTCTAGTCCTCAACTTTTTAGTTTGTCCCATTTGAAAAATATTCCTGGAAACTGATATGTAACTTAAATAATAGAAATGCCCATTGCTAGCTCAACTTCCCCCCCTTTCTAAACTTTTGTGTTTTATGTATTATGGATTTTCCCTTACTGTCCAAGACCAAAATTACCTGATTACAACCTAAGCCTCAAACTGCAATGTTTTTGTAGTCAACTTTGGAGCAAGTCACTTCAGTTTCCTCAAGTATCAAATGAGGATAATTATAGCTCATAGGGATGTATAAGGATAAACTGATGTTCATCCAACATCATGAAATCTCCAAGGAGCTTTCTATGTAAGGGGTAATGCTCTTCTGGAACATGTGATACAATCATAATATATTCTTGCTGCTCCTTAACGACAGATGACTTAATACTCCTAAAATGTCAGCTTTCTTCAGAAGAGTTAATATTAACTCATTAGTTTCCTCATTAAGCTTCCTTGAGACACATGGGAATGGCAATTATGCTCCCACCCCATATATATATATGAAATGTACCGCAGATATTAAGGATATGACCATAGCAAAATAGTAAGTCAAAGTCAAACCAAATAAGGAAACAAACCAAAGACTTCGCAGTAAGATGTAATTTTCTTATGTATGTGCAACACACTGGCAGTCATTTTTCATTTTGGACAGTGCTAAGTATTACTAATGACAAGGGTTTATCTGCCTAATAACCCAAAGGAAATCAAGTGTAATTCAAACTTAAGAAAAAAAAAGAAAGCCACATATACCTTCCTCAAATCCCTCTTAATGCTCTTTTCAAAACATGAAGCAGTCAAATCAATTTCCCCTTCTAACAGACCAACACTAATGTCAACTAGGGACATTTTCTAGAGCTAGTTTGAAGACAACTTCGAAGTTCCAAGAATATTTATTTGTGTAGCTGTTCATTCCAAAAGGGATAGGACTGTAGAGACTCAAACAGAATTGCACATTGATCAATTTTAAAAAGCGCTTTTGAAAGATCTGATAAAAGGAAAGAGAATGAGTAGGAACTATAATCTCCTGAGTCAGTCAGTCAGATCTGGACAAGAAATTTTAAATTGACATTGCCACTTTAGCACCAATTTTCAATTTTGTACATAATGCACATCTCTTAACACTTACATTTCTAAATATATTGGATTTTGGGGTTAGTTTGCTGATTGGGTTTTTTGCACTGGGTGTGAACTTTAAGAAGCAAGATTAGCAGTAACAAAAATCTATGGCCCAGGCTATGACGAGGCAATTGGGAACTCTTATGGCATTCCCTTGTTTAAGCATATCCCAGTATTGATGCAGGGAGCCACACTAAGTAATTCCTTGGCTGTTGGTAACAGAAGGGAAATAAATAATGATGTGAGGTAGTTCTTTCCACAAGAGGGTAATATCTGACTACACAATATCCCTGCAATGTCTGACGAATTACTAGAGCATCTGCTTGCTGTCATCTGTAAGTAAACTCTTAGCTTGGTACTAACTGAACTTGACAAATCATGAGCTAATTGCAGTTCCTAGGCCTTATTTTCTGAGCCAACCGAGGCAGGAGACACTACAACACAAAAAAATGTGAACCACAGAGACCACCAAGTACAAAAACTGCAAACTCATAAGCATTAAAAAACATTGGGTGGAACTGGTTAGAGCACATTAGAATAATTTACCAGAACTTGTGCAGAGAAAAGAATGAAGACTGGTGGGGAATAATTGACAGGTTCTGCTCCCCCAGCTTAACTATCATTGTGAAGGTTAAAATAAAAGAAGATATGAAGCTCTAGCATAATAAAGAACACAGCAGAGGCTATATATAAAAAAGTTAACATAAAAATCTGACAGGTGAAGGAATAGAATATCCTGGGAAAAGCAAGAACTACTTACTAAAACCTTTGTTTTTCCACTTGGAATCTGCATACTTATATTGAACTAATAAAGTATTGCTATGAACAAACTAGTAGAATGAATTATTTTAACTTCTCAAGACCCTGATATAGAGCTATCCATTTTGCATTCTAAACCCTCTCCAGGCTAATTGACAAAGGATAATACCAGAAATAGATCAGGAGTTAAATTATAGTTAGAAAGGGGAGAGAAGTAAGGTAGGACATTAAAATTTTATTCTGAAATTATCTCTGGCCACAACAATAAAATTTAACAGATATTCACTAAACAGTCTTACTCCTGTCATCAGCTGTATAATACATACAGTATCATAGAACTGGCCACTAGGATTAAAATCCACTAGAACATATTTAATGTTAAGTGGCGACAGCAGCATCTCACAGAAATTTTTACATACATATATACACAGTCCACATTCAACCATTTTCACATATTTTCAGTACACACAGTTGCAGCATATTACAGTCACGTGTCTAAGTTGTTGCTCGATAAAAACCCAAGCCACTGCCTAGACAGAACTGTAGCAGTTGAGCTGAGTATAATTACAATTAATTTTATGTATGTCCATAGCAGAGAGATGTACAAGCCCCTAAGAAACAGAGTTCACAAATACTTTTTTTAATGCTATTACAGCATTATGTTGGGCAATATTAAAACCTTTACCGAGACCAGATCAGTTTTTTTAAAAAGTCTTCTGCTTACCAGAAATATTTTTGATGAAAAAAATTACAAAAATGAATGCTCTCCTTAAAATAATTCACACTTTAGGATTCCAATATGGCCCAATGCTACTGATGCCTAAAGTGTTTTCTAACATTCTGATGGAGTCATTTAACACGACCCCAAACCACCCATTAAGTTTAAAAGTGGCTTAAGTGCCTTGCACCCAAATTGTAAAAATCCCTGGCCATCCTTACTAGAGCCAGGCACATATAAAAGGAATGCACTTTGGTTCATACCAAATGCCCTGGGATTAATCACACTATAAAATTAAATGGTTTGAGGTAAATTTTTACAAATACAGTTGATTTTTGTCTAGTGTTAGCATAACAAAAAAAAAATGTAAAAATCAGTCTGATGTTAAGATACAACAAAGACCATCTTTAACCCCTTAAATATAGGAAGTCCTTGTGTAACACTACCTGATGGTTATCTTTTTTCAGTGCCTGAAGATGAGTCATGCCTTATGGTTTCTATTAAGGCCTGTAACTAGATATTTAAGACAGATGTATCTTTGCAGAGATGGGTTCCATTCTTACTGACTAGAATTCGAAGAGTTAAAGAGGCCAAAAAATGCATGCCCTACAACATGGCATTCAGAACAAAAGGCACATTGTTAACACTAAGGGCACAATTTCTCCTCTACCGTTAATCTACAGTGTCTTGCACCACTCTGTTGTTCCACTGCTGTAGCAATATATTTAAGTGGTAATGAACACGCTGGTGGTGCAAGAAACAGAGCCAAATGAGACTGCCAAAGACAAGACAACACTGTGCTATTCCTAGATCTGAAAACAGCTCAGACATCCCCAAACAATGGTAACCTGTGAGACCAAAAACTGTTTCCAAGCCAACTCCTAATAGCCTATCAGAGCCTTCATTAATTTATGTTTTAAAATCACAAAGATGCAACATTTTTCTTTTTTTGACATGACAATCAAACTAGAATTTTATTAAAGCAGCTCTATTACTAAATGCTGAGATGTGGCAGCTCTTGTGAATAAAAAAATTTCACTGTATTTGGAGGGAAAAAAAAAAAAGCCCTACAGTGCTGCACATTATTATAGTTTGGTATAAAAGTTTCCGGTTTCCATTTATAAATAAAGATAGTCTCAAATTCATTGCTGGCATCTTAAGAACCAGTTTTGTGCGGTGGGGGAAAGACAAGCAGTATTAGTCCATTTATAAATGTTCACATGTATCGTCATTTTATAGGGAAATTAATAATGGCAGGCTCAGGTTTGTATATTTAAATGTAAATGTGAAGATAACTGGAAATGGAAGAGGAGCATTAGAAGAGCAAAACAGCATTATATGTTTTTATTGATTTAATGACCTAAAGAAGCTAACCATCATTAAGAGGCTGGTGGTCTTACAAAGCCACCAAACCAAGTCTTATACTTCTCATGCCTTTAAGCCAAAATCTAATATACAGATCTTTAAATTCTATAAGCCATTGATTGGGAGTATTGTCACATGAGCATTATTTAAAATGTAACTTACTAACATATTATTGCACTTCCACAGATTACACAGAAATGTGTATAATATGCTAAAAAATTTGACTAAGGGAAAAGAAGCTATAATTTCTAAACACAGAAGTACAAATTAATTTATCAGTGACACCTTAAATAGTAAAGCAAATATCACTATTTTAATAAGGTAACCTTATTACTGGTTTTTTGGCAAATATCTGAAATATTTCCTGAGCATTTTTTTCCACCATCAACCAACGAAGCCTAAATTAAAGTGTTTTTTTCAAACCTTTTTTTTTTTCTTAAGATAAACTGTAGGATTATTATTAAAGAACTTAACCGGAAACTTTCTTGGCCTCACTGGGGACCACGCTTTTAAGTACTTGTAAATCAATTTACAGGTAATACAATAATCTCTGTGCATATATAAGCTTACTTATCCTAATCTGTACTACCCAAAACCTATTGTCCAAACAGGCAGAAATCTTTCTATATTAAATTGCACATACTAAAAAATTTTTTTCACGTGCCTTGAAATTGATATAGATCATTGCTCATACATTAGTGATAAAATACTGAAATTTTCACTGTGAAAATAATTATTATTCAGAGAAGAAAATATTCTTTTACCAAACTCTCAGTTACTTTGCCAGATAAAGTGTCATTCCCACAAAAACAATCAGTGCAATCCAAAAGAAAGTAAAATAAAATAGAGGAATGCTATCTCTGGGGTTCTTCTAATGATACGAAGAATAAGTCAAACCATTTAACTTGAGGTTGAACTTTTCCTCCTCTAAACGTGTTGTTAACATTGGCCTTACTGAACAGCCAAAGTGACTTCTGTTCGTCCAGAGGATTTTCAACCCTCTTTCTTTTTAAAGAAAGAGTTGATAGTTTCCCAGGCTGAGAGAACCTTACAGTGGCACCTGAAAAGTGTGAACTCACTCTAATCTGCTAAATCTTCTTTGGAACTATGGAAATCCCCACCTTAAGTAGCTAGGCTGCTGTTCTTTTTTTAATTGGAATATGAAACAATGGTCATAATCACAGCTGAAATGTCTCTTTTCTGTATTAACAGTCTGGGATACACAGCTGAAGGAAGAAGACAAACTAAATGCAAGCAACAGACGTGTGGTATTAAAAGAGGAACAGAGAGGAGAAAAGCAGAGAAAAGGGAGGAACAGTTCATGGAATACAATTCTAAATTTAGGTGCAAAAGCAACTCTGTAATATGAGGCTTCTTTACAAAACAGCTCACCGATCATACTAGAAAATTTGGAGGAACACACACGTTTCCATTCCCATTTATCCACTAAAAGCTGCTTTGCCGGCTTTTAGAATGTCAGAATGCTAACTGGGCAGTTTAAACCTTGGGGATCTTATTTTGTATTTGTTTGAGCACTAGAGGAAAATCTCTAAGGTACAGTTTTTCTTAGAATGTCACTTTGATTCTGACCGTTCTCCTCCCACTACCCCCAACACCCAGATTAATTTATGAAAAACGGAAGCAGGACATGCTACACCTGTGCATGGACCTGGAGCATGGAGGGAAAAGGAGGGCCTTAAGGGGCTGTCACCCTGGGGAGGATATAACATGAACCATAAAAACATAGTGAATGTCTTTGACACCAATCTGTAAATGCGTGGCAGTCATGAAGTAATCAGTGGCCTGCCACTGATGTTATTATTCTGCCACACTAAATACAGTAAGGCTCATTGTACTTTTAGAACACAAAAAGTTTCTGAAAGTATAAAAACTTAAAGCATTGTCCTCATGTATTTTATAAAAACAAAATGAACAACTTTCTTACATTAAAATTAAGTGCTGAAAAGATACAAATGAGTAGAGTTATTGAGCAAATAAAAACAGGTCTGAGCTACTCCTTTTCAACCCAGTAAGGCTCAGCAATGTCGTATCTTTCAGGTTACCAGCATCAGGGGACGTGAGCTCAGCTAACAAGTTTTGGCAACACTGTCCTCTGCTGAATATTCCCATTGGCATCTGTCATCTGCGCCAAATTAGTCCTCAGTTTGGAAGCTGAGCTAGAAGGTGGAGGTAACTTGGATATAGATGTGATAGCACCGGTGCTCTCAGTTATCCTTTTCACTGACGTTTTCTCCCCGGTGGGAGGCTTTGGCAACCGCCTCCTCAGCCAGGGGTGCCGCAAAGCCTGGCCTGGGGTCATGCGCACTGCAGGATCCCACTCTAAACACTGTTTTAAGAAGTCAAGGAAAAGGGGATCATCACACCCCTTCAGCGCGTTCCCCCACTCTCTGCTCTCCGGTGGGCCCCTCAGTTTCCCCCTCCGGGAACGGCCTCCGTTTAGGACCACAGAGCCATCTGAGAGAGTCGTGACAGTGCAGTAACGGGGATAACCCTTGGAGCTCACAAAATTTTTGGCTCGTTTGGATGCATCCAGCAGTTTCTGTGAGGGCATGCCCAACAGTTCAATCATACAGGCCAGCTGGTCCCCTTCATCTTCCCCAGGCAAGAGGGGGTAACCCGTCAGGAGCTCTGCTAAAATGCAGCCCAGGCTCCACATATCAATGGGCATGCCATACCTGGCCCCAAGGATCACTTCTGGAGCCCGGTAAAAACGCGACTGGATGTACGTGTAGACACGCTGATGCTCGTAACAACTGGAGCCAAAATCAATTACTTTAATACCGCTTCTACCCTGCTGCTTTAACAAAATGTTCTCGGGCTTAAGGTCACAGTGAATTATTCTGTTTTTGTGCAAAGCATCCAAGCACTGCAGAATCGAGTGGGCAAACTTGCGAACCAAAGGCAGACTGAAGCCCTGGAATTTATTCTTCTTGATGAGCTCATAGAGGTTCATGCTCAGCAGCTCAAACGTCATGCAGATGTGGTTGCGGAAGGTGAAATTCTCCAGCATATGGATGACATTCATTGTGTTATCCTTGTCCTGCTTCCGCAGGTGTTCCAGGATTCGGATCTCCTCCGCTGCTTGCCGGTGGAAGCGCTTCTCATTCCGCACCATCTTTAGGGCCACGTGCTGGTGGACTTTGTGATCGTAGGCCTTGACCACCTGCCCAAAGCTCCCCTTCCCAATGACCTTGAGGACCTCATACCTGTAAGCCACGTGATCGTGGGGCACCTGCACATATGATCCCTGGTCATCATCATAGCCACCATTGTTGGGCCCACCTGTCATGCCCTGGCGCTTCTTAGCATTTAGACCCAAGAAATATATTTCAGGGTAGCTGAAAATCTCATGGTGTTCGAAGGCTGTGAGTTTTTGCATGTATTGCTTCATTGCTTGTTCAGGTGTCATGGGGGTGGCTTTCACCTTCCCCATGCCTTCCATGGACTTTAGAGAGGTGGAGCTCCCCTGCCGTCTATGAATGCTGTCCAGCTGCCGCTCTGGCACCACTGGCAAGCCCGTTTTGCCCACTGTTGTAAGCCCATTTGGTTGTGTCGTGAGCACTGTCCGCTTGTTACTGTTATCCTCAAACAACTGTTGAACCTGGATCTGTCCGTGAGCGTGGCTGCCGACATGCAGGTGATCATTCATTGTGTGCTTACTGCCGCCAATCTGGAATTCAGACAGGAAATATAAATAGAAAAGAAGTGGTGTCTGTTCAAATGGTGTATAAGTAACCCCCAACAACACCACCGCCCCCAACCTCACATTTACAAAATCCCATTTGGTTTGAGTAAAAGCCACAAAACATGTGATCCTGAAAAATGGACCTCATAAATGCCATGCCTAACAGACAAGATGGTTTGCTGTACATATTCAGGGTTCCCCACGGAGACAGAGACCTTAACTTTATCATTCTATATCTAACACTTAGTATAGGGCCTGGCACATCATAGGTGTTCCACTCAATCCACATTTGATACAAAAATGAAACAGGATACAGAAAAAAACATGCACACATAAGACTCTATGTTGGCTCCTCCACCCCCAGATCACAGCACCTTTCATATTTCATCTAGTAGTTTATTAACATGAAGACAGGGACCATGTCTGTCTTGTTCACTACTCTTTCCCTAATACCTAGAGCTCTATCCTGAAAACACTTCATCACCAGTATTTCCCCTTTCCTTGAAAATCTGATGAAACCTAAGTGCACACATGATCCAGTGACAAAAACAAAAACCCTGTGTTTTTAGACTTGAAAGATTCCCATGTAGATGTGTACCATAGTATCTTATGGACCCCTGACCTATTTTTAAAAGTTTCCAGGCTTTACTAACTGTAATAACCATTTAAGGCATTCAGCCCAACAAACCAAGCAACGACCACACTGTTTGGCCTTCCTCCGGAGGGGTCAGTGGCTCAGCTCTCTGAAGATGTCCATTTCTACAAGCTGCTGGGATACTCAGATTTCCAAATAGGAATCCAAAGAAGCAACCTCTGTTTCAGGTATGCATGCCATCCCTGAACATTCCTGTCTAAATTCTATCAATGGTGTGAACCAAGGGACCCCAGCCCTCTACTGAGAATCTTCTTGGGATTTCCTTTAAGCATTATGGCTGCTGAGAGGTAAGGGGTAGGAGAGGACTGGCAGCCAGGATCCTCTCCCAGTTAGGAATTCCTGCCTTGGACAACCCCTAGTCTTAAAGCAGCCTGGCAGGTGATTTCTGTATGAAATCTTACACCACCTTGTCATCACAATCCACCTCATTCAGTCAACTGGTATTAACAGGAGGCTGGCTGCCAAAGTGACAGAGTCCCTGCCCTCCAGGAACTTACAATTAACTAGATGAAGTCCACTGCCATCAGTATTTTTTCTACTATCCCCTTTTAAATCCTACCTTTGGGGCTTTACATACTACTGAAAGAGCAGAAGGGCTCTGTATATGTAACACAGTAATTCAAAACATGATTTGGGAACACCTGGATTACAAAATGAAATTCCAACTCCTTCTTACTAGCAGACCAAGACGTTCACATTTTCTTTATTGGATACATAATATGCACAATGACTATGTGGAGTGTGAGCTTCCTCTCTGCCCACTTCTAACTAAAACAAAACAGAAGACAATACTTGGGGCCTGTCTGACTGTGACTTCATAGGCTCAGGGATATCATTTCTTAGACTTATAACTGAGCTTTTTTATCACACTCATAGATGATACTCCATGCTAGGTGACCTTATATTCAATAAGAGTAGCTAGAAAGGTTATTTTACCCTTGTTCTATGCCAAAAGCAGGGCAGTCCATAAAAATGAATCAGGCAAGTCTTGGGCATATATAAAAGAGGTACAGGCTTGTCCAATGCTTCTCTTCCCCAGCCTCGCTCTCTGCACCCTCTCCTGTCCACTGTGGTCTTTCAAACACCAGACAATAAAGGGGCCTGAATCAAAATATCTCTCTCCTATAGAATCATTTTCTTTAGAGTGGAGTGGTGATATTTCAGCAGAAAAATTCACATTACCTGTATACATGCTATAAAAAGCATAAAGCTCTTCATTAGGACAAAATTAACCTTGGGGCTTTAGAGATTTCTAAAAACACAGCAAAGTAAAACCAAGCCTCAGAAATTTACTTCAAGCAATTTTTGTGTTTCGCATAATTTAATACATGATCACAAATGTTTTAGTAACTAAAACTAACGAGACTGACAAGAAACGACCATCTTCTATATCTCCAACTGCCTTCTCTTGGTCTCCTTTGCAGCATCAACTACTACCTAACCTTAGGTGGATTCAAGAGTTCCCCAGGGTTCAAATCTCGATTCTCTTGGCTTCTTACTCCCATAACCCCCTGCAACTGATCCTGAACACAGCCAGGGCTTCAGCAACTGCCCATGGCCTGATGTTTGCGCATTTGTTCCCTGAGCTCAGACCTTCCAAGGTGCTATCTCCTGAGTGGAAGACACACATATCCAACTATCGATCAGCTCCCTCTCCCATAAGCAACTCAAACTTAACTCATGATTTTTCTAACAAACCAGTTTCCCACTTCCATAATCCTCCATTTTTGATAAAAAGAAGGCTTCCCCTCCATGTGTCACTCAGGCTATCCACCTGCGAATGAATCCTCAGCACTGTGTGCCTGGAAAATCTCAACACCTCCCTCACCTTCCCAAGTCACCAAGAAGATGCATCATTACTATCCCAGGCCCTTTCCATCAACACTGCCTCATCTCACTCTCCTGATGTCTTTCACTGGGACAACTGAGGCAGCATCGTAACATGCCCCCTTGCTTCTAAGTCTAGAATTCCTCAAATCTCTTCTCCATAGTGCTTCTAGAGTCTGATTTAAAAGTCTCAACCTGAGACCACTCTTGCTTTTGCCCAAGGCCTGTGGCTGTAACCTATTTCCATAGCTAATGCAAGAACTTACCAGTAAGAACACAAGGCTCTAAAATGTAGAGGCTAAATGATCGGAGTCCTTCCATTCTCATCAACTACTGTCACTCTTCTCTCCAAGAGAACAAAGCTAGATAGCCCAGGACCCAAAAAACACCACACACTTTTACACTCCTCTGCTTTTAGTGAGGTCAGGTTTCATAATGGTAGATTTTCAGTTAGACACACATTAAATGATCCAGCTCCACCATTTACTAAATGTGTGACCCAGGGCAACTTATTTCATCTCTGTTAACCTCAGTGCCCTTGTCTGCAAAAAGAAGGTAACAAAGTTACCTCATTAGGGCTTTTAGGGGGATTAAATAAGGTAATATGTGTAAAGTGCTTAGTAGTCAGTCAATGAGAGCATTATTATTGTCCTTTCCAGATATTTCTTGTAATCTCCTTTCTCATACCTAGGTGATTCACCCTTTTACTTATTTCTCTTTATTGCAATTGTTTTAACATCAGATGTACTCATCTGGCTGTGAGCAATTCCAGGGCTGGGTCCCCTCTTATGTTTCCAAGTCCTCATTAACATAAACCCAGGCATATAGTAAGCCCTCAATAAATATCTTTGGGATGGAAGAACACATGCCAATAGATCCTCCTTGTTAACTCTTGCCTCTCTTGGAGTTGTTCCTGAGAACTACATTGTGTACCTTCATAAGGAAACATGAAGTCAAGGCCCAGGGAATTAAGAAACGTCCCTGGTGACCTAAGTCACAAGACGTTAGGCTTGCAGTGGATCCGCACAGACTTGGAGGCCAAGGACCTCCAAGCATAAAGTACCTGTAGCAGACACATCAATCAAACCATGTATAAAACACTTGCAACAAACACATCAACCAAACACCTAAAAGCAACACATGCAATCTTAAAAGCTTTCCAGATGTTAGAGATTCATTTGAGAAGCTCTAGCAAAAGAAGACTTTGAATCTCAAACATTGCAGGACTCTAAAATCACAATCAAGCTCAAAAGCACAATTAACTGACTTATAAAAAATGGGGCAGAGAGCAGGGTGGGGGTGCTGAGGGACTAGAAATGCCAGAACATTTCCAGAATACGTATGTCAAGACTACATCATAAACTTAAGGATACTAAAAACCTCTCCCTCCAGCTCAGCCTCTTGAAGTCTGAGATCATGGCTTATTCCGATATGCCAATGTATAGCACAGTGTGTGTCACATTTAAAAATACATACTGAGGCCGGGCACAGGGGCTCAATCCTGTAATCCCAGCACTTTGGGAGGCTGAGGCAGGTGGATCATTTGAGGTCAGGAGTTCATAACCAACCTGGCCAACATGGTGAAACCCCATCTCTACTAAAAATACAAAAATTAGCCAGGCATGGTGGCGGGTGCCTGTAATCCCAGCTACTTGGGTGGCTAAGGCAAGAGAATCGCTTGAACCCCGGAGGCGGAGGTTGCAGTGAGCCGAGATGGAGCCACTGCACTCCAGCCTGGGCAACAGAGTGAGACTCCGTCTCAAAAAAACAAAACAAAACAAAACAAAAAATAAAAACATAATACAATTGTTAAAATAGCTACAATTTATGGGTTCGAATTGAGAGACCTGCAAAGGCTTCTTTGATCATCAAGTACTTTGGTATTAAATATTATATAAAAACAATAGTCTAACCAGTTTGGTAGTTTTCATTTCTTCCAATAAGAAAATGGCAAACAGCAGATATTCCACTGTGATAATAGTCTTGGGCGTTTAAAAACTTTTCTGAAGTCATCTTAGAAATGCTGTATAGTATTATGGTAATAGAATTGAGTCCAAAAAGACTGGAATTTTAGCTCCTCCTCAAACATTCTGACAGTCTGTGTGGCCCTGTCAGAAAGAAAAATGTCTACTTTTTCTTCTTCAAAATACTGCCATTTTTTAAAATGTGTATTTCAATTTGAATTATTTTATAAAGGTAAAACTGATAACTGGAGTGTTTTACATAGTAAAACAGTTACAAAAGTTATACATATTTTAATATTTTTGAATTTAAAAATACTTCTATTAATAACTACCAATTAACATTAATAGAAAAATAATAGGAAGTAAGACAGTGATTGGGCACACTTCTCTCTCTCACACAAACAGAAATAACTAAAGTGTAAAACAACTTATACATGGAGATATAAAACAAAAGGGCAATGGTCTAGATAAATTCCAAAGTTTATAATCTTTATAATCATATATTTAACCTGCCTACTATATCACCTGTAAGAGAAAATGTGGGCAAGCTCCTATGACAAGATCATTTTTATCTCCTTAATGCCCTCCCGCCCCCCATTCATTCTAGAAGTTCTTCCTAGGTGTAATTACTCTGGAAATAATAACTAAAAATTTATAAAAATCTGACAGACATATGGGAATATGGATCTACAAAGGTTCTTGCATTTATAATGAGGCTAGTACAATTTCCTAGAATTAGCAGTCTCCATCAGTATATTAAAACTAGATGCAGGAGGATGTAGGCTTTCACTCTGGCCTTGATATGAACTGGCTGGGGAATCTTGATGAAACCAGTTACCTTGTCTGAGTCTGTTTCCTCATCTATAAATTGAAAGAATAGAACCAGATAAACTCTGTGGTCCTTGTAACCTTTCCTGTACTATGAAATCTGCTATGTTATAGAAATAAAATCAAAACTAAACCACCATCGAAACCCAAATTCACACCTTCAAAGTCAAGCATCTAATAATTAACAGCATACCGAAGTTTACACACACGTTAAAAACAAGTAAATCTGGCATATGCCACAGCAAAATACAGGCCTCCATTATGAGGAGTACTGAGAAGCACATTCGCATCCTTCCTTTTCTGGTGCACCACAGGCTCTCCCTCCAGTGGAGACTTGTCGTTTCATCTACTTTCATTACATGTATTTCAATTGCAAAGAGGCTCTGATCAAGCAAAGCCCATCCTTACAAAATTGGAATCCACATGCAAACCAAATAGTTCTTTTTCCAGCTCACACCATGTCATGTGATTACATCAACACATAGCAAAAAACTGGGTATTATATTTTCCAAATTGTCAGATGATCCCAAACAAAAAAATCCAAACCCCTAAAATCAATGGCAGTCCCTTAAATATCACTGTGACAAGAACACTTAACAGTAATATACAGAATCATCCATCCTACTATACCATCCACAGTCCAACACAGGTTAGTTAACCTCTGTGCAATGAATTCCCAGCCCCTGGGACCAGATGTGTCAGGATAGAGAGACAGACAGAGGGAGGGGGAAGATAGTAACAGCAACAAAACATTTTCCTACGAAACTTGCACACATCTCTCCAAGTCTAACAGGTGCAACTACAGTCTAGACATCCCCTCACAGTTCTCTGACAAACAAGTTTCCCCATAACATATGTCCCCAGAGCTACTCCCCTGTAGACCGGAGATGGCCTTTTCTTCAAGAACTCAACTTTCACTTAGCAAATAAAACCAATCCCTAGCAAGCCTCCCTCACACAGAACCATCTTAGGCTGTTCCTGTGGAAAATCCAATTGGGAAAAAAAGACCTCCAAACCATCACCTCCTCCAAGTGCAGACCTCCTCCAGGCTGGCCATCACCATCCAAGGGTGATCCCTGGGAGCTGAGAAAAGGTACATGCTTTAGTCGAATCCAGCTTGCCAGTCTCCGCAGCCACCAGCAACCAGTCCCACGCTGGCCTCTCCCCTCCCAGAGACCACAGCACCTGTTAGGTGCTTTTTCTTTCCCACCTCCAAAGCAACGCTTGCCCTTTCCTTTTGAATAATGTCCAACTGCAGAATCCTACAGGGGTGGCTTGTTTTGACTGCTGCGGCGGCCCTTATTTTTGTTAATGTTGATTACAATTTCTGCTGTGCTCAAACCTGTAGCACTCATAAAACATGCTTACACACGCGGGGGACAATTGGCGATGCTCCCTGCTGGCTGGAGCCAGGCCTGGGAGGCTCTTTGGGGGATCGATTTTCCGGGCAGGCCGGTCTGGCTGTCCCCTAACACGTATCTGTTTCTATAAATACCCACTACCCACGGGGAGGTGGGGGAAGGACAGAGATGTTTACCGGGTCAGGGAAGGGAACTCTGGGATGCAAGGACGAAAAATGAGGAAAGAAGGAAAGCAGCAAGGAGGAAGTTCCTAGGAAGAGGAGGTCATGGGTGGGCGAGCTCTGGAGGGGAAGTAAGGGGCCCACGCCACGAATCTTCCTTTGTGGCTGCAGCTTTGGGCTCGCCCAACTTAACCAGGGCGGCGTCGACGAGAGACCATCGGCCCGAGGCGTGGGGCTGCTTGTATCTCGACCCCTCTTCTCCCGGCGTCAGACCCCTCCAAGTCCGGGTGCTTCGGCCTGGGGCCCCTCCCGCCCCCACCGCCCGGGCCGCCCGCGGGCTGGGTCTCACCGTGTGGGCTGCGGCGGCAGCGTTGCTGGCCCGGAGAGGCGGCAGGGCGATGGGGGAGGGCGGGCCAGTCCCCACTCCGCTCCGGGTGGCCCCTGCACCGAGCCCCGGGGAAGCCTGAAGCTGACGAACGGCGCTGTCCCCACCTCGGCCTGGAAGCCACGTGCGGGAGGAGACAAAAGAGGGTCAGGGGGGAGAAAGTCACCCAGACCCCCCCTCCAACCCCGCTGGGCAGCGACAACCCTCTTCCAAAGAAAGACGGAGGAAGAGACCGGGGCAGTAAAAACGGGCGTTCGGGTCACGGCTCCCCAGCGCACACCCACGGGCGGGGCGCGGGCAGCTGCAAAGTTAAGTGGGGCCCTGGCGCGCGAGTTCGCGACCCGGCGGGGGAGCCGGGCCGCGCCGGGGCTAGGCGGCCCACGTTGCAGACGGCCAGCAGCCGGGAGGTGGGTTTGGACAGCTGAGCAGGGAGCCACGGCCACGCCAAGCCCCGGGCAGCGCAGGGCGGGGCGGCAGGCCTGGACGGTCCCCGCCCGGGCCCCCGGCAGGCAGAAGCCTCTTCGGGCCGAGGGCTCCCCGCGGAGGGGCCTTCGGGGCCGCGCACAACCCTGCATGGAGCCCGGGGCGCGTCGTCCGCCCGGGGGCTCCCCCGCGCCGCGCCGCCGACTTTGTTCGAGGTCCCGCAGGCAGCGGCCGCCCGCGCCACAGGGGCTGCCCAGGGCCGGCGGGGGTCCGGGGATGCGGCGCGGCGGCACGGCCTCCTTACCGGTCGGGTAGGCGGCGGGAGCGGCGGCCGAAGGTTTCCTGGTTAACATGGCCGCTGGAGAGGAAAATGCATTTCAGGGCTGCCGTCGCCGCCGCCGGTCCTGCTGCTACTTCTGGCGGCCGCCGCCGCCGCCTCCCGGCCGCCCCTCGCGCGGGTCCCCGGCGCCTCGTCGCCGCCTCGCGTCTGCTACAGCCAGACACACACAGTCCACTGCATCCCCTCGGCCGGGGCCCGCCGCCGCGAGCCCCCCGCTCTCCTCCTCGCCGCCGTCCTCCTCTTCCTCGGGCGGCTGCAGCACCCTCCGGCCCGTGCACATGCCTCGCCCTCCCCTGCGCGCCGCGGGCCTCCCCGTCTCCCTCACATAGGGGCGCGGGGAGCTGGAAGCGCTGCGAGGACCGAAGACCGCCTGGCTCGGGAGCCTCTCCCGGGCCCGCGCGCGCGCGCCCCCGCGCACTCACACACAGGCGCCGGCGCGCGGCCCCGCCCCCGCCGCCCTCCGCCGCCCTCCTCCGCCGCCGCAGGCCCCGCCCCCGGCTCCCCCGGCCGCGGCCACGCACACCCCACCCCCACCCAACCTCCCGCCCGGCTCCTCTCAGTCCCCCGGTTTGCGCGCAGCCGCCCCTCCGCTCCCCGGAAAACTCGGCGGCCTCCGCTCGCCCTCCTCCGCCCCCTCCGGCCATCTGCACTGCTTCCCTCGGCTCCACTCCGGCGACCTTTTCCCCTCCCCGGCCCCGCGGCGCCCCTTCTCTGCCCTACAGCTCAACCTACCGCTGCTGCCCTCCGGCCGAAAGCGCCGCAGAGACCCCTCCCCTGCCATGCGCACCCCTAAACATAAATGCATTTTCAGCTCTTCGAACTGAATGGCTGCTCACAGACAGTACTGCTTCCCCGTCCCCCCATTCTTGGTCCCAGCGACTTAGCCACTCCCCTCTCCCCAATTCATCATGTAGATAACTTAGTTGTGCGAGGGTCACCTCGGAGAGGCAAGTCCCGGGAGGGGCGGCCGCTGAGCTCGTTGACCCTGAGCAGGGGCGAAAGAGGGGGCTGCCCTCCCACCTCCACCACACACCCTCCCCGGTTTACTGACACCAAGTGACCGCTCGCCAGTCGCTAGGACAAGGGGAGGCAGAGAGGCGCGTGTGGACGGCAGCTGGGGAAGCAGTTGGCTGTGGGTTGCTAGGCAAAAATAAACATCAGAGACATCTCCTATTTCCTTACAACTCCGAGCCTTTCCCCTGCGCGGCCACTGGGAGAGACACACCTTCCTTTCAGCTCTGCGGTGAGGGAGCGACACCTCGAATTCCTCTCACCCCACCCGACACATCTCTTTCCCCCTTCCCTTCCAAGACACGTGGAGAATTTCCCTGCCTTTTTTATTCGCCATATACAACCTCTCTTTTCCTTGAAGACCAAAAAAAAATTGCTTTCCCGTCTCACATCCGCGCCTCGTCGTGCGTGGCACACAGTGCGCCTCTGTTCAAAGGTCACAGGTTTTGCCACTTCAACTGTGAGAGGAGGTGGGGTGGGAAAGCCCGACAAATCCCGGATGACGGGGCAGAGTTATGCCATGCACTTCCTTCTCGAGAGGTGCCTAGTTTCTGAAGTTCTCTTGGGGCCAGGGGTCCATTATGCTCTGCCCCGCCCGAGTATCTCTGGCTCCTGGCTGGACCTACTGTGCAGGCCCGAACTAGTGCAGACTCCAGTCGGAAGGGAGCCACCTCCTGCGGAGTTTCATCCACTCTACTGTTTGCAAATTGTCATAGCAACCTCCTACAGAGCGCATCCGCAGCTTTATACAAACGCCAAAAACTGTTTCAAGGTACAGTGTGACCCTCTCAGAGTCTCTGGGACTCCTAAAGAGGCCTCCAAGTTAGGGTCACTGGGAGAGGGAACCTGTGACAAAAAGAATTTTCCCTAGTATTACGTCCCTCCAAACAAAACAAAACAAAACAAAACAAAACAAAACACCCTTTCGGGGCCTTCTCCTAATAAAGTAGACCCACAGTAAAATAATCCAATAATATGCCTTTAGAGGAATCATGACCTGAACTGACCCTAGCAAGAAATATCCCCCTATGCTTGTCACTGGCGACCATCACATTTAAATCCACATGCGGAAGCATATTTAGTGTTTAGAATCGACTAAAAGAAAAGGGCTACTAAGTAGCAGAGATGACACTAGAACCGGTTTTCTGACTCCCAGTCTGATTTCACTATGACTTCCATCACACTACTTTCCTTACACTTTCAAGAAAGCTCACACCTCTTTTTTCTCCTTTCAAAACAATTATTTTCATACCATTTTCCTTTTTAAAATGAGTACTCCATACAACTGATGTTCAAATAAAAAAATGAAACAAAAAAATCAATTTTAATATAATATGACACCCCTTTTTGCTTAAGTTATTCGTACAATACTTCAGTAGAAGCTAAATATGCCACTGTTTTCTCATGAATAAAATAAATGCTAGTTACTGGAAGCCATAGTTTACGATTTCCAAATTAGTAATATTAATTTACTCATTTAACATGAGGAAAAGGAGCACTGATTCTTTTTTTTTTTTTTTTTTGACAAAGGATCACAATCATTAACTTTAAGAAAGAAAAAGACAATAGGGAACTTTTTGTAGTATATTGTTTTATATCATGACAAATATAATTTCAATTTTGTATATTTTTTGTGGCTTAACATAAGGAAATATTGCAGTTGACCTACCCCATAGCTATTTTGATTATAAATGGTACATCTTTGAAAATTATATTAATTTTTACTGACCTCTAAGTGACTATTAACCATTGCTTAGATTTTCCTCATTCTGTTAAATATTCTATTAAATATTGACATCTCCCTGAGTGAATGTTAAATAGAAAAGCTGTACAAACACACTCCTGGGGCTTTGGGGAGAGTGAAGTGGGTAAATTTGGGGAGTTATTTCCCTCAAATTTTATTATCATAATGCATCATTATCAATTATCTCATATAATTACACATATTTTGATCTCTTTATAAAACACTTTCACAAATATTACCATGTTTAATCTTCATAACTCCACCAGAGCAGATTTCATTTTAAATAGGAACCTCCTTAAAAGCTTCATTCAGTTAGCAAGAGACTGCTCTTTGGTTTTCACCCATTGTAAAAACTCTGTGTGTTCTATATGTTTAAAATCCAGATTCAGATAACAAGGAGGTAGGCAGGATCTAGCAGGAGTAGAGAGAAACAGGAGAACTCAGAATAGAGCCTTGAGGAAGAAAGTTGATTTTTCACTGGGCAAAGTACTGATCACAAGGAAAATTGGAAATGAACATAAAAATTGCTGGTTTCAAAACACATTTACTCATTTAATCCCCTTATCCCAGAAACATTTACAAAGAATTTAGTATGTGCTAGGCCTAGGAGACATGATGAATCATCAAATGCAGTAGACTACACTTCAGTCTGGCAATCTATTAGGAACTCATTCTTGTTTTGTTTTGTTTTTGTTTTTTTGAGACAGAATTTCACTGTGTTGCCCAGGCTGGAGTGCAGTGGCACAATCTCAGCTCACTGCAACCTCTGCCTCATGGTTCAAGTGGTTCTCCTGCCTTAGCCTCCCGAGTAGCTGGGACTACAGGTGCCCACCAACACGCCTAGCTAATTTTTGTATTTTTTGTAGAGACGGGGTTTCACCACGTTGGCCAGGCTGGTCTCCAACTCCTGACCTCAAGTGATCCACCTGCCTCGGCCTCCCAAAGTGCTAGGATTACAGGCGTGAGTCACCACACCTGTCCAGGAACTCATTCTTTTATTCAATTAAGCAATAAGCTATAAGAACCTAACATATTTTTGGCACCGTTGGTGGAATGTTATGGTCTGAATGTTTGTGTACGCCCCAAATTTATATTTTGAAATCCTAACCCACAATGTGATGGTATTAGGAGGTGGTTAGATCAAGTGACTGCAGAGAGTTAGTAGCCTTTTCCACCATGTGGGGACACAGAGAGCAGGCACCATTTATGAACAAGGAAACAGGCCCTCACCAGACACTAAATCTGCCAGCACCACGCTCTTGAACTTTCCAGCCTCCAGAACTGTGAGAAACAAATTTCTGTTTGTTACAGTTACCCAGGTTATAGTATTTTGTTATAGTAGCCCTAACAAACTAAGACATGGGGCTACACAGTTAAATAATCCCTGGCTCTGGTCACTGCTACTAGGAAGTTCACAGTTCCGTACGGGAGACCAGACATTTAATGAAGTGAAAAGAGTGGTAAAGAAGGCATATAGGAGTCACAGAGATAGCACACAGGAGAGAGGGACGAGCTCCACTTAAGTGGTGTCTGGCAGGGGCTGTGCTTCAGTGGAGGTTTTAAAGACGCGTGGGAATTTGCAAGTTAGGCGAGACAGGTTAGGACATTCCAAGTGGAAGAAATAGGATGTTCAGAAGCGTCAAGTTGTAAGAAAGCATGATGTGTCCCAGGGGAAGGGGAAGCAATTCAGAATAGAGGAAACTTGGGGTGCCAGGCAGAGGGGTGGTACTGCTATCTTCCTAGGGTTAGGTTTATGGATAGATCAAGTCAGGTTAAGAATTATCCTAAACTTGGCCAGGCATGATGGCTCATGCCTATAATCCCAGTGCTTTGAGAAGCTGAGGAGGGAGGACCAGGAGTTTGAGACTAGCCTGGACAACATAGCAAGACCCTGTCTCCACAAAAAAAGTAAAAATAAAGAAATATTCTAAACTTTATCTGCTATGGATATGTGAAAACAAGGTGCAGGGGCTTTTGGAGCAGCTAGATAAATTATTAAGGAACTGACTCATTTTGGTGAAGGTGGATCTAACTCCCTTTAAGAGAACACCAGGCCAGGTGCAGTGGCTCATGCCTGTAATCCCAGCACTTTGGGAGGCCGAGGCGGGTGGATCACTTGAGGTCAAGAGTTTGAGACCAGCCTGGCCAACATAGTGAAACCCTGTTGCTACTAAAAATTCAAAAAAATTAGCCAGGCATGGTGGCGGGCACCTGTAATCCCAGCTACTGGGAGGCTGAGGCAGGAGTATTGCTTGAACCCAGGAGGTGGAGGCTGCAGTGAGCCAAGATTGTGCCACTGCACTCCAGCCTGGGAGACAGAGTAAGACTCCATCTAAAAAAAAAAAAAAAAAAAAAAAAGAGAACACCACTAACTGGCGGTACCTTCTATGTCTCCATCACCAAGGTCCAGAACTACCTAGAAAAGAATATGAAGACCTTATGGCCTAAAGTCTACTAATGTAAACTTTTCAGAAGTAGGAGGCATGGCCGTCATAACCAAATGGCTACAAGGTATCTGAATTTGCCTCTGGAGTGTGGCTCTGTGGCCACTACTGGTGTGGAAATCAAGAGGAGATTTCTATACCGCTAGAAAGTTGGTGATATGAGGTGTTTGGGCAGGTTGGTTATATGTCGGTCAGGGCACTTGCAGAGCCAGTTTCCTCCATTCTAGGTTGGGGGGTACATTTGCCTCCTAAGGCAATCTAGGTATTTGGAAAGGCTGCAGAGTTAATTCAGCAATTTCTTGGGAACAATACATCTGACTTTTCTTCCAACTGCATCCTAAGGACAGAGTTAATGTTTAAAACCAGTAAGCAGGGAAAAGAGAAAGCTACATCCTGGAGATTGGAGTACTTTAATAAAAAGCTCATAGACAAAGCCCAGTGGGACCTCTGCTGAAACCTCTTCCTTTGATCCAGCAGGACAAATGTCAGAGGAGTGGTGTCCAGTATATCCAGGAGCTTCAAAGGGACAGGAGCGCCATGACTAGGTAGGGTCCCAGCAGCTGGCTTCCAGACCAGTCTTCTCAGGCTAGTGGCCACGCAATTGACACAGCTTATAAAGTAGGTGCCAGTGGAGTCAGCCTCTAGGAGATAAGCCCATGGGGCTGCACGGGGAGCAGCCAGCAAAGAACAGGCTGATTCCTGGGTCCTGGGGATCATGCTGGACCTTGCACCTGGTGAGGAATGAACATGTAAAAGGAGCAACAGAAACTCTGAAATTCTCTACTAGGGAATCTGTTATGAGAGAAGCCATGGTGCAATTTTGCAAACCAGAGAAGAGTAAAGGGAAAAAGTTCTGTGGTGTTCCAGGTCATGGGGTCTTTGGTGCCACTCTAACCAAAAGTCATGCCATCCCCTAGCTAAGAAGTGGTGAGTGAGAGGAGAAGTATGTGCCGTGAGCACTGTGAGAGCCACACTGGACACTGCTGCTGGTCTGCCTTAGCACAGATTCAACAAAACCTTACTGAATGGAACTGAAATTATTTAGCTAAGGATGGGCTAAGGGCAATCACCTACATTCAAACTGTTAAGACTGTTCATACACAGTAAAAATGGACCCAACTTGACTGGCGGCTTAATCCATTAATTCTATATGTATTGATTAGCAAGCTCCTATTATGTTATGTGTCAGGCACTAATCTAGGTATTCAGAACAAAGCAGATCAAGTCCTTGCTCCGTGGATCTTCTATTCTAGCACAAGGAGAATAACAATTAACAAACAGTGCCTATATCACACATCAGGTGGGGATAAATACTAGGTGAAGATGAAGGGATGTAAGAAGATAGGGAGACGCTGGAGAGGGCACTATTTTACTTAAACTTACTTACTGTGAAGGCCTTTCTGATAAGGTGATATCTCAGCAGATTTGAAAGAAGTGAGAAGCTTATGGGAATCTCTGGGCAGAAGGCCTAGGATATGCAAAGAAGCAGCAGATGCAAAGGCCCTGAGGTGGTAACATGTTTGGGGCATGCAAAGAGGGCAAGTGGCTGGAGCAGTGAAGTCAGCAAGAGGGAAAGTCATAGAGATGAGGCCAGAGACATAATCAGGTACCAGGCCACATGAACAAATTTGGATTTCATTTTGAGTGATTTGGGAAATCGAGGTTTAAATATTTGAAGAGACATCAGACCACATGTGGTGTCTTCCACCTGTAATCCCAGCACTTTGGGAGGCTGGGGTGGGAGGATTGCTTGAGCCCAGGAGTTTGAGATCAGCCTGGCCAACATAGGGAGACTCTGTCTCTACAAAGCAAACAACAAACAACAAACAAAAATTAGGCAAGTGTGGTGACATGTGCCTGTAGTCCTAGCTACTTGGGAGGCTGAGATGGGAGGATCACTTGAGCCCAGGGGTTCAAGCCTGCAGTAAGCCGTTATTGTTCCATTGAACTCCAGCCTGGGAGACAGAGTGAGACACCGTCTCAAAAAGGAAAAAAAAAGAAGAAGAAGAAGAAAGAGAGATAGCAAACCCACATGCCTGTAATCCCAGCACTTTGGGAGGTTGAGGCAAGCAGATCACCTGAGGTTAGGAGTTCAAGACCTGCCTGGCCAACATGGTGAAACCCCATCTCTACTAAAAATACAAAAATTAGCCAGGTGTGATGGCAGGTGCCTGTAATCCCAGCTACTCAGGAGGCTAAGGCAGAATTGCTTGAACCCGGGAGGTGGAAGTTGCAGTGACCCAAGATCACGCCATTGCACTCTAGCCTGGGCAACAAGAGCGAGACTCCGTCTCAAAAAAAAAAAAAAAAAAAAAAGCGGGGGGTGGGTAGCAAACCCAAGGTGAGAGATTACAACAGACTCTTAAAAAGAAATCCTCAGCCAGGCGCGGTGGCTCACACCTCTAATCCCAGCACTTTGGGAGGCTGAGGCGGGCGGATCACAAGGTCAGGAGATCAAGACCATCCTGGCTAATATGGTGAAACCCTGTCTCTACTAAAAAAAAAAAAATACAAAAAATTAGCTGGGCATTGTGGTGGGCGCCTGTAGTCCTAGCTAATCAGGAGGCTGAGGCAGGAGAATGGCACGAACCCGGGAGGCGGATCTTGCAGTGAGCCGAGATCGCGCCACTGCACTCCAGCCTGGGCGACAGAGCGAGACTCCGTCTCAAAAGAAAAAAAAAAAAAAAGAAAGAAATCCTCAATGTATATGCATTTTTACACCCTTTCGAAGTCACATTGAACTAAGCACTGTGGAAGATAAAAACCAAATGCAAGCCATGGTCTCTATTCCCAAGGAGCTTTCAGCCTAGCTCAGGAGGAAAGCCACACCTCTGGAAACATTTCAACAGCACAGTAAACAGCATGTGCTGCATATTTTCCTTTTGCTCATCAGATTCACTCTCTACTCTTTTCCACCCTGCTCTGTGCCACAGGAGGCTTTTTAAACAGTGTCACTGAGCTCCCTTGCCCACTGACTTCTAGAAGGATTTGACTAGTGAGAGACGGAAGCCAGTGAGGACAGGCTATTTATCTCCCTGGTTCCCTTCATGATGGTTTGCCAAAGATTGGCTATGCCCCTTGCCAGAAGACCTCAGCTCCTGTCAGGAGGCCCTCTCCTCCAGCTGTAGATATTCCCTTGGAGTTTTGCAAACCATCCAGTCCCCTTGACCCTTCAAGCCTAGAGGTAGTAAGGATTTCCTGCTGCTGCTAGCTCCAGGGTGCTTCATTTTCTCTTGTCAATTTCCCTTCATCCTATCCATACTTTAGCACTCGGTCTTTACATTAAATTCTGATTGTGTCCTGTTTGTTCTGCCAGATCCTGACTGGTACAGAGGATAACATATATCTAAGTACCATGTAATGTAGATAATGGGATCTCCTGAGGGCTAGGAGAATTGGGTTTGTTGGAGGAGTGAGAGAAGAATTCCTGGAGAAAGTGGAATTGATCTGAGCCTCAGAAAATGAGCAGGCTTCTCTTAAGCAGAAGAAAGTCACTCCACACTAAGGGAGCAACAGAAATGAAGGCAGAGAAGTGGGAATAAGCACTGCAGAAGGTCAGGTGGTCCTTACGTAGAGAATAGGAACTGAGGACTGGAAAATAAGGTGTCGAGGAGCACAGCGAGGTGAACCCAGGTCACGGACTACAACGAAAAGCCAGGAAGAGGTTCACATGTGAGGTGGATGGACACAAGAGGCCACTGGAGATTTCTGAGCAGCGAGTTGACCTGAGGAAAGTGCTAAGTAGGGAAGGTGCATCATTTTGGCTGCAGAGTGTTAAAGAAACCGGAGTGAAGAGAACAGTTCAGAGGTCATTCTCAGGAGCACCTGAGGGTGGTCCCAGAGCAAGGCAGAGGCAGATACTATTTATTTAGATGCTTCCCCTAGAGCCCAAAAGAGGAGACTTCATTTTGAAGTAGAGAGAGGCCAGAAGGGCCAGATGGTTTTCTTGCTACCTTTGGGTTTGAGAAGCATACACAATTCTTAAACCTGCTTATCAAGGCATTTTGTAATAAAGCTTATTAAAATGATCAGCTAAAGTGAGATATAATTAAGAGATAATGGGTCAGGGAAATCTGGAATCCAGAAAGATTCCCTCCTCAATCCTTTCCCAGTGGTGTGTAGACAGAATTTATCAATCACTCAGGAAGAAAATAAAGTATTATAAATGAGGAGTAAATAGTGTGCTCTGGAGCCCACTTTAATAACTGATGTCTCATCTGTGGAGAGAATTGATACACTGGCTGCTCGCCAATGTTGGATGCCAACGTTTAAATTTAAGCTAAAGTGTACATGTCATTAAAAGAAAATGCAAAAATCTAAAGACCTCTCTTTCCTTTGTTATCCTCTTTTTAAAGAGCTATTGTAAAGAGATGAAGGGGAGAGACACTCAAACACACCAACAGGATCCAGAATGACCCATTGCCCTGGTTTACTGGCAGCCCTGGGGGTCCCATACACCTTGGGGATATGAGCCAACCCTGCTTATTTGGCCCCTCTAACTCCAAGCCTCCATGGGCCAAGTCCAGGGATGTAGACTTTCATTCTCCCTTCAGATGTAGGTCTATTATAGGGGAAGTTTAGAAGTGTCTGGTTCAGGATAGCCGTGCTCACCAGGAAAACCCAATGACCCTAAACTATCACTGGGGCTTCCTAGACCTGGGTTGCATGGAAAGAATGCAGAAGAGTCTCAGGCTAAGGGACCCTTCCAATGAGTAATAGTATCCTTACATCTTGGCTGCCTGAGTACCCTCAAAATAATAGCTAATACTTATAGAATGCATTTATCATGTCAGTTAGTGTTGTAAGAGCTTTATCCATGTGGACAAATATAGTTCTCACAATCATCTTGTGTGGTAGGTCTATTAGTACTTTTTTAGAGATTAGGAAACTGAAGCACAGAGAGGTTAACTAACTTGCCCAAGGTCACCCAGCAAATCAAATGCCAAGGCAAGTAGTTTGGCGCTACAGTCTATGCAGATGTTGCTTTCAGCATTAGGTAAAGATTTGACTAGATCACCACCATGACCACATCAATCTTGTTATTACCATCAATAACATTTCATATCACAAAATGAGCTGTTCAGTGAAGCCCCTCATGTTGATATGGTCAGGCCACTCTCTGGCTTTCCCCAGTAGCCTGTTACCCAGGGCAAGCTTACTTCATAGATGGAAACAGTGAAATAAAAATATCTAAGAGACATGTACAGAGACATTAGCAGGGGTAGACAAGGCATTAGGTTTAGAATCCAAATTTGTTGACTGCTAACAAATTTCTCCTTTTCTTTTCCCCCAAACCCAATTATTACAAAATTTCCCCCATTTTAGAGATGAGGGGTAGGTACTCCCAAAAGCACATGCCATATAATGGGCAAGCTTTGAGGCGTTAGGACTGCAGGGGAAAATTCTTACTGTCGCCCCGAGAATGATTTGAATCTGGTGTTTCAGAATAAACTTTGCCAAAGTCACAAAAAGTCCAAACGTAAGTTAATTATTTCTTCTTTATCTTATTGCAACAAATCTACCCCTCTGCTTCAAATGAATGAAAAAGAGGAGTCCATGGCAGTAGAAATAGGTCCTGTCTACTGATATTGCCATTCCACAGAGGAATCTAGCCACGCAAGGGCCTTGGAAAATTGCTTTTAATTAAATCATACATTTATGCACATCTGCACTCTTACTTAAGTTAAAATCTGGGGTGGCAATATGCTGGCTCATTTCAATAGTATAAACAGTCAGTGGGCAATCTAAGGCCCAAACCCATGTTTGTCTTTAATTAGCTAGGCGAAGGCAAGAGAAATCATTTTTGATGATTGAATAATTTAGACAATTGTTCTTAAATTGTCCTGGAAATTTTTTAACACTTTTACATTCGAAAATGTCTTTGATTGAAGAAGAGCTACTCTAAGTATCATTGTAGACAGTACATTGTGCTTGTTATTTATCTCTCATAAGTGATATTGGACATATCCATTGTTCACACAGCACTGTTCTCTAATGAAGGTTTTGAAATACAGAAACTCTAAAGGCCTGTAAGCAAATATTTGTATTTAGCACGTGTGCAGGTGACTGGCCATTGATCAGCATTTCCAACTGGCACAAATAATACAAACTAGCCAAGAAATAATAAACTATTGGTAGGCAGATAATAACAGTTACGAAAACAGAGATTACAAGGGATTTTGTTAATTGGGCAGGAAAAAGAGGTTTGCTTATTGGAAAAAGAAAAAAACAGCTTTCTTGTGACCTGGAAGGGACAAAGAAATAGAGAGATCAATGCTTTCAAAGAGCAGCAAAAGATAAATAAGTCATAGTGAAGGTACTAGAAAGGATGACGAGCAAGAAAATAGGTGTGGGATTTGACTCAGCAATCCCATTACTAGGTATATACCCGAAGGAATATAAATCATGCTATCATAAATACACATACATATGTATGTTCGTTGCAGCACTATTCACAATAGCAAAGATATGGAATCAACCCAAATGCCCATCAATGGTAGGCTGGATAAAGAAAACATGGTACATACATACTGTAGAAGACTATACAGCTATAAAAAAGAATGAGATCATGTCCTTTGCAGGAACATGGATGGAGTTGGAGGACATTATCCTTAGCAAACTAATGCAAGAACAGCAAACCAAATGCTGCATGTTCTGACTTATAAGTGGGAGCTAAATGATGAAAACACATGGACACATGAAGGGGAACAACACACACTGGGGCCTACCAGAGGGTGAGGAGGAGGGAGAGGAGCAGGAAAAATAACTGATGGGCACTAGGCTTAATACCTGGGTGACTAAAAAATCTGTAAACAAACCCCCGTGACACGAGTTTACCTATATAACAAGACTGCACGTGTACCCCTGAACTTAAACGTAAATCAAAATAAGAAAATGAATGTGGAGAGACAGCAAGAATGAGAAAGGAGGAGATAGGAGAAACTTCGTAGGAATTTTTACAAGGAAGAAGAGGGACAGGATGAAATGTATGAGATGAGGCCAAGCATGAGATTGAAAGCTTTAGGCAAAAGATAGAAAAAAAATCACTAGAATATTAGAATCAAATTATTTTCTTATAGTACACATTGTTAACTCTTTTCATTTGGAGCTACAGTCTTGTTCTGTCTATCAACGATTTGGTCAACAATGGACAATACATATGATGATACTCTGATAAATTCTAATAGAACTGAAAAATTCCTGTTGCTTAAGTGATGTTGTAGCCATTGCAAAGTCGTCACACAATGTATTATTCATGTGTTTAAGATGCTGTTGCTGTAAACAAACCTACTGTGCTGCCAGTCCTATAAAAGTATAGCAGATGTACAGTATATAATATTTGATAATGATAATAAACAACTATGTTGCTGGTTTATATAGCTACCATGCTCAAGTTTTATTCTTAGAGTGTATTCTTACTACTTATTTTAAAAATCAACTTTAAAACAGCATCAGGCAGGTCCTTCAGGAGGTATTTCAGAAGAATACATTGTTATCCTAGGAGATGACAGCTTCACTACATGTGTTATTGCTCCTGAAGACCTTCCAGTGGGACAAGATGTGGAGGTGGAAGACAGTGATATGGATGATCCTGACTTTGCAAGCCTAGGCTAATCTGTCCTTGTGTCTTAATTTTTAATTTAAAAAATTTAAATAAGAAAATTTAAGGCCGGGCATGGTGGCTCATGCCTGTAATCCCAGCACATTGGGAGGCCAAGGTGGGTAGATCACCTGAGGTCAGGAGTTCAAAGACCCAGCCTGGCCAACACAGTGAAACCCCAGCTCTACTGAAAATATAAACATTAGCCGGGCATGGTGGCGCTTGCCTATCCCAGTTACTAGGAAGGCTGGGGCATGAGAATTGCTTGAACCCAGGAGGCGGAGGTTGCAGTGAGCTATCGCACCACTGCACTCCAGCCTGGGTGACAGAGCAAGGCTCTGTCTCAAAAAAAAAAAAAGGAAAAAGCTTATAGAATAAGAATATACAAAAAGAAAATAATTTTGTACTGCTGTACAATGTGTTTCTGGGTTTGTTGTTGTTGTTTTTCAAGATGGGGGGGTCTCACTATATTGCCCAGGCTGGTCTCAAACTCCTGAGCTCAAGGGGTCCTCCTGTCTTAGCCTCCAGAGTAGCAAGGCCTATAGGCACGTACCACAGCTATGTGTTCTTACAAGAGTCAAAACATTTTTAAAACATGAAAGTTTATAAAGTAAAAATGTTACAGTAGGCTGAGGTTAATTTATTGTTGAAGGAAGAAAACTTTTTAAATAAATTGAGCGTAGAGTCCGTGTACAGTATTTATAAAGTCTGCAGTAGTGTACAGTAATGTCCTAGGCCTTCACATTCACTCACCACTCACTCACTGACTCACCCAGAGCAACTTCCAGTTCTGCAAGCTCCATTCATGGTAAGTGCCCTAAACAGGTGTACCATTTTAAAAATTTTTTATACTTTATTTTTACTGTAGCTTTTGTATGTTTAGACATGTTTAAACACACAAGTATTTACTATTGTATTACACCTGCCTACAGTATTCATTACAGTACCATGGTGTACAGGTTTGTAGCCTAAGTGCATTAGGCTATATCGTATAGCCTAGGTGTGTAGTAGGCTGTACCACCCAGGTTTGTGTAAGTGCACTCTGTGATGCTTATACAATGATGAAATTGCATAAAGAGGCATTTCTCCGAGTGTATCCTTGTCATTAAGTGACACATGACTGTATTTCAGTTCTCCATCTCATTGGGGTTGT
Organism: Homo sapiens; assembly: GCF_000001405.40. Lineage (NCBI taxonomy): Eukaryota > Metazoa > Chordata > Mammalia > Primates > Hominidae > Homo > Homo sapiens. Next base: position 67,635,194 of record NC_000012.12, on the reverse strand, counting down.
TCCATTTTGGGCACCTGTTTTCCCTCTCTCTCCTCTCATACCAATGCTGTATTATCCTTTCCTCCTTGCCTAATTTACAATGAGTGAAGAACCTGACAAACGTTTCATATAATATATGCTTTACAGAAAGAAAAAAATCCTTGATTGCTTTATTCTTGAGCCATGTGTCAGGCTGTGTGCGAAGTGTTTTGCCTGAACCATCTCCTTGACTCCTCACTGCAACCCAATGAGGCAGGTATATTATCCTGATTTCAGAGACAAGGAAATAGAGGCCTTGAATGGTTAAATAACTTGTTAGTAACTGGCAGTGAATGGATCTGGATTCAGGGACTCTGATGCCAGAGCTCACTTACCCACTCAGAACTTTGCACATATGCTGTGGGGGGGGGGCATGGAGGATGGGAAGGCCGCTATCTTCCACTACCTGCCCACACATTTTCATCTGACCTAACAGTGGCACATTCAGCTTCCCTGTTAGTACTTCTCCCTCTCCCACCCCCAATGGCTGGGGAATCCCATTCAATAGAAATCCTGACATCAGCACACCCAACCCAAGCAGATCTGAGATCTCTTCTTTTTTTACTCTAGGCTTGTTCCCATGCTGCTGTTTACTGGCTTGGTCCTTATTTTGTCTTCCCTTATGTGCTGTTTCTTAAACAGAATTGCTTCCTCTCACTACAGAGCTATTAAGACAACATTTGGAAAAAAAGGAAGTTAAGACCCAGAGAATTTATCCAAAGAAATGCTCTACCAAATATGAGAACTTGACTGGAATTATACATTTCTGATGTAATTCAGTCAAGCACAGTCATATTGGCATGTGGGAATGTTGACTAATAATCTAACTTGGTAGAGAGAAATGATCCAAGACTGAGAAATTACTGTATATTTCAGATCTTTGAAACAAACAAAAAAGTATCTATACCATGGGGTCAGATGAGTTTTTCCTCCTTGAGAAATGAAAAATCAACAAAATAATATAAATAAGATCAACAGAAAAGTAATAAGATGACCCTCCAAAGAGAAATAATGTTCTCTAACCTGGTAAAGCAATAGAAAAGAGAAAGACATCCTCTCCTTTTTTTTTTTTTTTTTTTTTTTTTTTTTTTAAAGTGTTTCACATAGAGCTAACTGGCAGCAAAGGGTGTCTAAAGAGACCATTTATGAAGAGTAAGTCGGGGGAAACACTAATATCCTGAAATCCTGCAAGATCTTGCAAAGTGCCAAAGAAATCACTGAGCAAACACATGGCTAGCTGGCAGCTGCCCTGGAGCACGTGGCAGTGTAAGAACTTCCTTCTTTTTTGGAGGACCACATTTTCAACAGCAGCTTCTGTCCCCAGGCTTACCACTTCTAACCTTTATGTCAGCAAATCTCCTCAAAGTTCACAAAGTAAGTCCTGCTGAAGTTCAGGTAAATGACCAACCTACATTCAGCAGCTTCCTCTTGAGCCAAGCTTTTCCAACATCACTTTTTCCTCCATAGCCCTCCCCATGCATCTTTTCCCCTAGTTGTTAAAAGTTTTCCTGAAATGATTTGGGATTAGTATAAAATGGGGGCGAGAGTGAAGTTTACTAAAATTATCCTTAATCTCTCTAACTTCGAAGTCATTTTCTATTTTCATTTCAAGCAATGAGGACTTTTTAAATTCCCTGAAGAACCTGAGGAAATTTTGATTTATCACTGATGAGACCAAACAAGAACCCTACTCACCTTTTGAAACTAATCTTGTGAAAAGACTAAGCCAGAAAATATAAATGCCTTCCCTACATTTAAAATACCATAACTCTGACTTTTTCAGAGGTCATCCAAATGTTAACATCAACGATCCAGAACACAGCTGAAGAGCAGAAGGGACTTTTTAAAGACTTGTAGATAAACACAATTGGTGTCACAAAATCCATGCATTGCAATCCATGAATTTTATTAATGAAAGAATCATCCATTCTTTTACTCAAAAACAATCCATAGCATGGTACAGTGGTCAGATGGCCTGAATACAGATTGTGTCTCCCCTACTTACTAATTATATGAACTTGGCAAGTTTCTCAAGCTCTTTGTGTCAGTTCTCTCACCTGTAAAATAGTATTTTCATTGTAGGGTTCATAGAGGATTAAATCAGATTACCTATTTAAAATTCACAGAACAGAACCTAGCACACAGAAAATGCACAAGTATGAGCTATTATTCTTTGATACACCTTCCTATTAAGCTTAGAAATCTGGTTTCTCAGGCCATTGCATGTTAGAGTTAGCAAATTAAGAAAGGTGGGAGGGTGATAGTAAAAGATCCACTGACTATTTTCAGTAAGGAAAGAGACAGAAAAATTGTCAAAAGCAAGCAAAGGATCTAAAAAGCATAGCTGCTTTAAGCCGTAGAGCACTGAAGTAAGATGCTCTAGACCAACAATAATCCTAAAGTGTTAATGCAACAGATGTGATGGATGATCTTTTGCAGTGATTAAGAAATAGTTCAGTTTTGCTCTTTATACTTAACTCTAATTTGTGAAGCAAGAAAGAGTGCAGTAATTTTATAAGTATCTTAATTAAAATACTTAAAACAATTTGGTTGCTTCTAAGGAGCATGTTTTAGTTATATTGAAAGTCTACTTCTTGGCATTTAACCTGCAGACTTAATGTGCCTGAATTAGGTAAGAAACCATTAATAACTTCAACAATACATGCATGTGTGAGCCTTTTAGTATGATAGAATATAAATGATTTTGAAATGTCAAATGATAATATATACAATAGTCTGACACTAGAGTCACAAATCCATCTGAAGATGTTGTACTCATTTAAACTTGTATTTATTACATCTAAGATGTATGCCTAACCCTGCACCAGGCATTGCAAAGAGGCACAAAAGATGTTTAAAATAAACTCCCTCTCCTCAACGAGCCCATCAGCCCATCCGGGCAATGAACACTGAACTCCACAGTGCTTTGTTTCCCTGGCTGCCTCCTGTGTTTATCCAAAGTGATTTGAAGGCTGTCTGAACTCTTGCTCTAGGCAGAATTGAGTGACACTCTGACACTTCCAGTTCATACTGTTTCCAGACTTCCGGAGCTTCTGCCATTACTTTATAGTCTTGCCCTGTTGGCTCCCTGCTCCTGCTGGGGGAACAAAAAGTCATTTTCCTGCCTTAACCATTAGCTGGTAAGGGTTTTAAGATATTACCCCCACTCTAGGAATGTCTATTCTCTCAATTAATTTAGAGGAGAAAAATGAAGACCCTCTCTCCTCCAAATCTATAGGTATAGGTAGAAATAAAGCCACCACAGGGCAAAAGATTCTTAGGAAATTTCCCTGGAAGATAGAACATTTCTCAGATTCCTCTCAAATCACAGTGCTTGAAGCATGGTCCAGAGGCCTGCTTAGGCTATGAGAATGAATCGAGTTTAAGCATTCCTTCAAATCTATCCAATTGTCTGGTATTCTTGCTTTTCAATGAAGATTTCCAGATAGAATGATGGAGAAAATGAGTTACTGGGAAAGACTATGAAATAGCCTTAGTCATAATGAAAATCTCTCCTTCCACTTGTTCATTTCAGTCAGAACCAGTCGTTTTCCATCAGCTTATATGATTTCTGAAACCCAACATCCTTCAGAGGAATATTCCAGGAGAATCTTATAAAATGTCAACCTATTTCAGAAGCAGCAGAGCGTAACTCTACCTTATTCCACATCATATTTAGTTTAATGGTGACTTAACTTTCAGAAGATTTATGCAAAAGTAGTAATAAAAGTTGACAACTTTCATTTGTAAAAATTCTGAAAAGGAAAGGAATTATTTTTATTCTATTATTTTGCTTTTCCTCTGCTAGTATTTGAATAACATGATTTCATACTGCAACAGAAGCTTCAGGTCATAAAAAAATGGTTTCTTCTGTTTCTTCTGTGTAGGGGAAATCATTGTCATAACTATGTAGGGATTTAATGGCTCAGTTTACTCAATAATTAAAACTGTTTGTATGTAAATGGCAAAGTTAGAAGTTGCAAAGTTAGAAATTACAGATCAAAAGCAGCCTGCAGATATGTTTTGTTTGGCTTCCACAGTGTTTTTTGAAAATGTGAACTAAATGCCAACATTTAAAAATCAGGAGATTTCATGTAAATATCCAGATTTCTGGCTTTTCTGGAAATAAGGCAAAATCTGTCTGCACTGTGCTTCCTCCTAGTCCTACTTGGCAACGGAGAACATCCCCCACCTTTTGTAGCTTCAGCCCTCCCCACTTCCCACCAGTGCCTGCCCTGCAGGTCACCGCAGTCCCCACCACTTCCTGTTATTGTGTGTGTGCTAGGCTGGCTTTACCCATTGACATTACCACCTTTCTCCAGCAGGCATTTAGATTTTTAATTTTACTGTAAGCTTTGTATTTCCTGAGATTTTCTCACCGCCATTTCTCTGTTGCTACAAATGTATCCTGACATTTCTTTCTTTTCATTTCTTATGCTCCATTTCTTGGTGCTACTGCTGAGACTAACAGAGGTCAATTGTAATTTGGGCATTCACGCTGAAGCCTTTCAAACTAGTTTGTGCATAAATACATACCTGGCACAAGAAACATTGTTTTCTCTTGTGCTTGAAAATCAAACCGATTTATACTTAGCACCGAAGAGTGCGAAGACCCTAAAACCACTGCCTGTGTAATAGCTCACTGCAGTAAAATCTTTGGTTTTACTCTTTGGTAACCTCTTGCAGCTTTTCTAGACAGAGTTAGCTCTATTTTGGGACTCTTTTTCTACATCAGAAGCACACAACTGATATCTTACTGTTACTAGTTTGCTTTTCCTGAAAGCAGTGTTGAGGTTCTGAACTTCTTGTAGAAGTTCATAAACATGGTTTGCACCAAGAAACAATTCAAATGTCTCATTACTACAGAAACACTCAGCTATAAGTAATATATTCAGAACAGAGATGATGCTTAAAGCAAACTCTTTCTTTGATATACTTTAAATATTTGTACCCTCTAAATTTTATGTTATAATTTGTTCCCCAATGTTGGAGGTGGGGCCTGGAGGCAGGTATTTGGGACATTCAGGATCTTTCATGAACATTTGTCCTTGCATAATAACTTAGTTCTCCCTCTGTTGGTTCCTGGGAGATCTGATTGTTAAAAAAGAGCCTTGCACCTGCCCCTCTCTCTCTCTTGCTTCCCTCCTCTTGCCATGTAATGCCCACTCCCCTTCCCCTTCTGCCACGATTGGAGGCTTCCTGAGGTCCTCACCAGAAGCAGATGCTGGTGCCATGCTTCTTGTACAGTCTGCAGAACTGTCAGCCAAATAAACCTGTTTTCTGTATAAGTTATTCAGTCTCAGGTAGTTATTTATATCAACACAAAGTGAACTAAGACATTATTCAACATCGCTGTTTAGATACCTGATAAATAAGGATATCGAACTTAACGTAGCCAGTATTGAACGTGTGATTTCTTCCTCTCTACCTCTGTTTTTCCCAATATGTGTTTCTTATCTCAGCAAATGGCAAGTCTAGACTTTCCATCACTCAAGCCAAACACTTGGGTGTCATTCTTGATTCTTCTCTCGCTCTTACACATCACATCACATCCATCTGCAAATCCTGTTGATTTTACACTAAAAAATATCCAGGATCCACCTACTTCTCACTACTGCCACAAATATCACCATGCTCAAAGGCACCATTATCTCTCCTCTGGATTACAGAAGTAGCCTCTTAACAGTAGGCATACTGATCTCTTCACAATGTAAGATCATGGCACTTCTCTTCTCAAAACTCCCCGACAGTTTCCCATTAGCCAGAGCAAAAGCCAAAGTCTCTGGAGTAGCTAAAAGCTCCTGTATAATTTATGTGCTCCTTTTTTGCCCCTCTGGTGGTTTGCCTTGTTTCGCCCTGCCTTGCTCACTTCGCTTCAGCCACATTGGCCTTGTTGCTGTTCCTCACACACACCGTGCATGCCCCGCCACACATGCCTTACCTGTTGCTCCTGTTGGTTCCTTTGCCTGGAGTACTCTTCCTCAAGAATGTCCTCCTTGCCTTCAAGTCTTTGCTAAATGTTGCCTTCTTTGTTTTATTTATTTATTTATTTAAGATATGATCTTGAGCTGTGTCCCAGGCTGCAGTGCGGTGGCGTGATCGTAGCTCATGAAGCCTCTAACAACCTCAAGGTGATCCTCCCACCTCAGCCTCTCAAAGTGCTGGGATTACAGCCATCCCAGCCTAAACGTTGCAGTCTTGCTCAGGTCTATTTAAAGGTGCAGTCTATTTAAAGCTGCATTCTCTTTAAAATTGCAGTGCTGCCTCTCAGACCCTAGCTTTATTTTCTTCTTCACACTTACCACCATATGACATTTTATTTGTACTCACTTGTTTTCTGTTGTCTCCCTCCATTAGAATGTATGCTTTTTGAGGTTGGAGACTTTTGTCATTCTCTTTTTTTTTTTTTTAACTGCTGCTTTTCAGTACCCAGAACAATGCCTGGGACATAAGAGTTCCTTGAAAAAATGTTTGATGAATGAATTAAGTAGAAATGCCATAGATGTAAACTTTTCTATTTTCAGAATTGAAATCTATAAAGAAGAATGCATGCTTCCAATCATGAGCATATTTATATGATCTTCAGAAGGATAGAGCCAACACAGAAAGATTTATTTCCTACATTCTCTGAACATGACCCATGATTCCTGATTTATCGAAGTTAAGCCCTGTTGTTGAATTCCAAACATGTGAAACCTCTAAATATGAACAAAGGAAAATTCACTATTTCAAGTTATGCCCTACTAAGGGGTAGAGGATTCACTTTAATATTATGGCGATTGTAAATAAGGCCCTTTGGAGAGGTACATTTAGGCCATTGTGGCTGTTGGGCATGTTTCTGCATCTGAGTTCTGTTAGGTTGGTGCAAAAGTAATTATGGTTTTTGCCCTTTAAGTGATGGAGAAAATTGCAATTACTTTTGCACCAACTACTTGATTAATTCAGTGGCGTCACTGATGGCTACATTTGTTTTAACATCTTACCATGCGTTAAGATGTTACAACTCTTAGGCCCATGTTACTTAAATGTTCCTTCTGAACCTGAAAAAAAGACCAAAAGAAAAAAAACCCACAATATAAAAATCTGTTACTTTAGTAGAAACAATTATAAAATAAAGCAAAATGGATAATATACTGGCCACATTAATGTTTCAATTAGCTATTAATTTCTTAGCACTAATTTAGATGTGGGTATAGTCACTGTTCATTGTATGTGCCATCAAAGTTGTGTTAAAATGCGATGCGATCAACTGTCTAATATTAATTCTGGAGTTGGCATTTACCCATTTCAGAGAATTTTTTTCATTCTGACTTTCCTTCAAAGCGCTTTACAAAGTACTCAATTTACAAAATGCAATGTTGTGTAGTATCATACAGGTAGTATTCTAAGGGCTTTATGTATCATAGCTGACTACAATGCTATGAAAGTGGAGAATTGTTATCTCTATTAATAGAGGAGAAAAACTAAGGCAAAAGGAGGTTTAAAAATTTGCCTAAGACTACAGACTTAGTTTCAGTGCCTGGTTTGGACCCAGCTAGAGTTCATGTTCTTAATAATTACAATAAAAAAAAGAGAATAATACAAAAATAGAACCCAAATAATTGCGGTATTTATAAAGTTTTATTCATAGGTAGTAAGAATGTTCTACAGGAGACAAAGAAAATCTATCTCTTGCAGAGTCAAAAGCACTATTGTGAATTTGACCTTTGAACAGAGAGAACCAATCAAGAACGTACAAATCTGAACCCAAGTAATATAATAAAGTCTTATGAAAATCCCTTTCCTCTTCCCACAATTCTCAACTCTGATAGGAAATCCCAGAAGTGACTAAATACTGTGCAACATCAGAAAAAGGGTATAAGGGCAGAGCAGGATAGTCTGTCCTGAAGATTGTTTTACTGAAGCCAGTACAAAGACTCTAATGACAACACTGGGCACATGGAAAAGTGGAGTATGGGGCTGCTCCTCACACCTGCACTGCAGTGATGACAAAATATGACACCCACAAGAGGGTGGCTGTCCTTTCCAGGCAGGAAAGGCCTAGAGCTCATAAAGAACATAGCTTTGCCTCTTCATAAATTCTAGTCACATGCATCAAACATGCTTTCAGAATACATATGAACTTGCTTCTGCTGCACACTTATGAAGCAACCACCAAGTCTCCCAACCTTAGAAGTTGCAAATGTATTCCTTTTCATTCTCAGTAAGCTTTTAAAATATTTTTTTCCCTTGGTGTCCAATGTAAACATATTGCAATTAACTTTGGGAAAAAAAACAAGATTCTTTAAATATATTGCATTCATATGCTTAAAATGTAGGTTACCAATATAGTTTTAATTTTTTATAGGTATGTCTATGAAAAATTTTTATGTTCTAATTTTCCCAAAAGCACAAAGGAGGGATGCTTTGCTTGTAATAAGGGCTCATTTAATGCTTGTTAAATTGAACACAAACCTTGAGAATCAGGGGACATGGTGCTCTTTCTAGGATGTAAATCTAGTATGCCACACCTCTATTTAAATACTTACATGGTCCCTACTGCTCTAAAGATAAAGGCCAAATTCCTTAACACAGATTTTAGGGTAAGCAGGAGCCACATCCTACCACATGCTACCTCCTTTACCTGGAATGCCTTCTGCACCTTCTCCCCAACACATCATCTCACCTCTCAGTCTTTCCTGACCATCCCCTAGTAAGAACGGGTTGGATGCTGTATTAGTCAGAGTTTTCCAAAGAAACAGAATCAATAGGATATTTATATAGATATAGAGAGATTTATTATGAGAAATTCGCTCATGCAATTATGGAAGCTGAGAAGTCACATGATCTGCCATCTGCAAGCTGGAGACCCAGAAAGCCAGTGGTATAGTTGCAGTCCAAACCCAAAGGCCCAAAAACTGGGGGCTGATGATATAATTCCTGGTCCAAGTCTGAAGGCCTGAGAACCAGAAGTGCTGATAGTGCTGATGTCTGAGGGCAAGAGAAAATGAATGTTCCAGCTCAAGTAGAAAGAGCAAATTTGCCCTTCCTCCTCCCTTTTGTTCTCTTTGAGCCCTCAACTGATTAGATGATTCCACACTGGGAGGGCAATCTTCTTTACTCAGTCTACCAATTCAAATCCTAATCCCTTCCAGAAACACCCTCACAAACACACCCCAAAATAATGTTTTACCCACTGTTTGGGCATGCATCCCTTAGCTCATCAAGTTGACACATAAAATTAACCATCAGAAGTCCATCCCTTGTCAACTTGTTTCTTATAAACATCTCTTTAAACCATACTTGATCTCCAAATAAAGACAACTAGGTCATAATTTCATTTAATCTGATACTACTATCCAGCATACAACAAAAATGTACAAATCCCTTTCCTAGAATAGGAGGTAAAGTCTTTAACTGATATATTTACTCTTCCCTAATATCCTGTGACTTAAATACCATGATGTAAAATTAATAATACTAAAATACTGATGTAAAGTTAATACATCTTATGCTACATGATAAGTGGATAAAAGAGGAATAAAAGAGGAAAGAAAACAAATATACTTGTAACAAAATAAGGATAAAATACTTATGACAATTACAGTCTTCATTTTTGTAACTGGTCACATGGCCATAGCTGGTATTGATAACTGCCTTCTTCTACTACCCATTCTGTATTCCCTTTGCCTTCAACAAGCACCTCAGCTGATTATGTTTCTTTATGGGGTAGGGGTGACTCAGATCTTTATTCCTGAAGAGTCTGGGCCATTCATAGTCCTGCCTTCGTTGGATTGTTATAGTTTCCCACTGACTTTAATCAAAGGTCATGGCAATAATAAAAGATTCTCTAGGGCATAGCCTGTATTCCAGACATACTCTTCTTTATGTCCATTGTGGAGCAGTAGTCCACTTCTCTCTTGGTATTCAGAACAGTTACCTCAGCCAGCACTGTAACTCCCTTCTTGGTCTGTTGATTCAGAGGAATGAGGAGACCAAAGAGACTGGGTGGGTCTTAACTTCCACTTCAACGAAATCATTGTTGTGTCTTCTGGTAGAAGCATTCCTCTCTCTAGAACTATGAACTCTAGGTCAGCAGAGCATAAAGTCATGGGAACAGGAAGCAAAAATTTTATTAGTCCCTATGGGTAACAGTAAGTGGTGCCACTTCCATTTTCACCCCTTGATTCCTAGACCTGTGAATCCTGACTACCAGAAAAACAGCAGCATATATTGGATGCTGATTTAGAGCATATTCTGAAGATCCTTGCCCCAGCCCTGGTAGTATTGCCACCTAGCTTGATGCCAGATGAATCTTCGAAAGACCATTCTACCATTCTATCAAGATAGCTGCTGCAGGATGGTGGGTAAGACCAGGGAATTTCATGAGCACGGGCCCATTGCTGCACTTCTTTTGCTGTGAGGGTAATTTCTTGATCAGAAGCAATGCTGTTTGAAATAACATAGTAGTGGATAAGGTATTCTGTAAGTCCACAGATGGTATCTTTGTCAGAAGCATTACACTCAGCAAAGGCAAATCCATATCCAAAGTGTCTATACCAGTAAGGACAAAATGCTACACCTTCCATGATGGAAGTGGTCCAGTGTAATCAACCTGCCACCAGGTGGCTGGCTGACTCTGGAGAATGACGCTATGTCAGGGGCTCAGCGTTGGTCTCTGCTGTTGGCAGATTCGGCACTGAGTGGTGCCATAGCCAGGTTGGCCTTGGTGAGTGGACATCTATGTTGCTGAGCCCACATATAACCTCCATTCGTGCCACCATGGTTATTTTGTTCGTGAGGTCATTGGGTGATGACGGGGGGGGGGTGGATGGAGAAATAGACTATCAGGTGCCAATAGAACCCTATCGACTTGGTTCTTAAAGTCCTCCTCTGCTGAGGTCACCCTTTGGTGGACATTTATATGGGACACAAATATCTCCCCCTGCCTTCAGAGAGGTCTATCCATATACCTCTTCCCTAGATTTCTTTGTCACAATTTTCCTATCATGTTCCTTTCAAGTCCCTGACCATCCAGCCAAATCATTGGCTACAGTCCATGAATTGGTACATAATTGCATACGGCCACTTCTTCCAAGCAAAGGGCACTTCCAACCTGGTGCACTTCCCCAAGTGGCGCCCACCGGGAGGATTTCCCTTTACCACTGTCCTTTAGAGATGTTCCAGCTATCCATTTTTGAGTGGTACCTGCGTATCATGCAGAATCATCTGTCAGCTAGGCTTGTGTCTTCCCCTCCTCTGTTAATTTATTGTGGAGAACTCCTCATTAGCCTGTAGGTACAGGCTGGGAGAGATAAGGCAGTGTAGCAGCAAGGAGGGCCATTCGCATTTGGGCTAATTGTTTATGCAATTTACTTATGCCTTGAGGGCTCATTTGGCCCTGATCACGTATAAACCATTTCCATTTGACGAGGGATTGTTGCTATACATGCCCAAATTCATGGCTGGGTGTCAGATAAAACCCAGTTTGTGATTGGCAGTCCAGATCACATGATAATGTGGTGGTCCATCAGTCTCTACTAAGGCCCAGTAGCAGCCCAAAAGCTGTTTCTTAAAAGAAGGGTAGTTATCTGATATCAAAACCTTGCTCCAAAATCCTAAAGGCTGGCTCTGCAATTTACCTATAGGTGTTTGCCAAAGGCTCCAAACAGCATCCCTATCTCTGTTGACATTTTAAACACCATTGGATCTGCTGGACCAGATGGACCAAGTGGCAGAGCAGCTTGCACAGCAGCCTGAACCTGTTGCTGAGCCTTCTCTCGTTCTGAACCCCACTCAAAACTAGCAGCTTTTTAGGTCACTCGGTAAAAAGACCAGAATAGCACACCCAAATGAGAAATATTTTTTTGCCTCTGAAATCCAAAGGCGCCTACAATACACTGGGTCTCTTTCTGGGTTGTAGGAGAGGCCAGATGCAACAATTTATCCACTAGACCTCTAGAAATTTCACTACAGCAGAAGGCACTTGAATTTTAGTTGGATTTATTTCCCAATGTCTGAGACACAAATGCCTTACCAATAAGTGAAGAGTAGTGACTACTCCTTACTGATTCAGTCCAATCAGTATAATATCATCAATATAATGGACCAGTGTGATATCCTGTGGAAGGGAAAGGCAGCCAAGTTGCCTGTGAGCTAAATCATGACATAGGGCTGGAGAGTTGTGATACCCCTGAGGTAGGACATTGAAGGCATATTGCTGGCCTTGCCCGCCAAAAGCAAACTGTTTCTGGTGGGCCTATGGACAGGTATGGATAAAAAGACATTTTCCAGATCAATAGCTGCATACCAGGTATCAGGGGATGTATTAACTTGCTCAAGCAATAAAACCACATCTGGCACAGCAGCTGCAATTGGAGTTACCACCTGGTAAGTTTATGATAATCCAATGTCATTTTTCAAGATCCATCTGTCTTCTGCACAAGGCCAAATAGGAGAGTTGAATAAGATCTTTGTGGGAATCACCACCCCTGCATCTTTCAAGTTCTTGATGGTGGCACTAATCTATGCAACCCTTCCAGAAAAGTAGAATTACTTTTGATTTACTATTTTCCTAGGAAGGGGCAGTTCTAACGGCTTCCACTCAACACCTCTACAATAATAGCCCTCACTCCACAGGTCAAGGAACCAATGTAGGGATTCTGACAGTGGTTAAGTATATTTCCAATTATGCATTTCAAAGCCAGGGAAATAACCACAGGATGGGTTTGAGGACCCCTGTGAGATGCACCTGAACTAAAACTCCATTGATCACCTGACCTTCATAAATTTCTACTCTGACTAGAGGACCACAGTGATGTTTTGGGTCTCTTGGAATTGATTGAGAGGATGTGACTCTCTGTTTTTGTGATTCAGGCTAATCTTTTATTCACTTGACCTAGAACTTTTCTGCTTATGCAGATCAAATAAGATTTTAATAGGCTCCTATCTATTACACCACGATTAACTAGCCAATGCCATAGGTCGGTTCAAGTCAGACTATTCTGATTGCTGCTTTGACTCTGCTCCCTATTACAGTAACCACATTCACTTTGTCTTTGGCAGTTGAGTGCCCTAGGATCCAATTACTCCCATTGCATTTAAGTTTTCCATTTCAGTGACTATAGTTCCTACTGCGAGGTTTGACTACAGAGAAGAGTGATCACAGAGCTCTTTAATACTGAGGGACCCCGCACACATTTATTTCTTTCAGTAAATGTGAAAGGCCTGCCTCCTGGACCCTCCCAGTGTAGGTGAGCAGGTCTTAAATGACAGTCCACTCTAACATTCCAATCTCCCCAAGCCTTTGAATCCCTTCTTCCCCATTTACCAAAGCCTTATCCAGCATTTCCAACTCACTCACAATGGGCCATGTTTCGCTCAGTGTTTCAGCTAACCAAGCAAACAAACTGTTAAAGCCCTTTATAACTCCCTCAGCTGCAACAATAAATGCAAAATTTCTGTTTAGTATGGGTCCTTATCAGTAAATTCAGCCTTATCCTACTTTATATTCCTTCTGCCATTATTCCACACCCTTAGTTTGCACTTCCACACATGTTACCTTGATTTCTGCTTGTATAAATTAGAAAACTCACGTAGTTCTTTTGCAGTGTAGTACCTCCTTATGGGTCGCACTTTCTACCTTATCTCTAGGGGCCTGCTGGGACTTGAGTCTAGCTATAGGTCTAGAAGCAAAGAGGAGTGGTGGTACTGGTCCTGAGGACATTATTTTGCATGGCAACAGCCTCAAGAGAGGTCATTACCATTTCCTCAGGTAACGTGAGGTTAATTTAAAAGACTAATACAACTGTGGGTAGAGAGGCTGATACCACTGGGGTTGGGAAGACTTTCTACTGGTAAGATGACTCATCAGAATTTATGGTCTCAATGTTCCCAGTTTCATCAGGACCTTCACACATGTTTCCATCCCAACTTATAGTATTCCATTCTTTCCCAATCAATGTCTTGACTTTTAACAGTAGAAATCCTGCACTGGGAGTTCAACTTGTGTTGTAATTCAGCCAATTGTAGCATGAAGTTCTGCATTTGATTTTCAGCAATTTCAACCCTGTGGCTACAGGAGATAAGGAATCCTTCAGGGCGCACATAGAGGTTATTATGTCATATATACGACACTTGAGTTGGGAATTTGAATCCCTTAGCTCATCCTTTTCTTTCACCACTTTGTCCAGTAACGTAAGAAGCAACCAAACAATGCTATTATACTCATTAATTTTTAAAAAAATATTTGAAAATCTCATATACAGAGTCATCTATCTTCTTATTTCTTATAAATGGTGGATCAGGAGTATTCAATGCAGATATTTTCTATCTCTATAACTAGTTTATGCAATGGAGTATCAGTGCTCTCTTTAGAATTGGAAATAGTCATTAACGTCATTAATGTAATGGTATTAGAAAGCCAATTCCAGAAACCTCAGAACCAAATCAGAAAACTCATCCTTAAAATTCTGTTCCTCTAGAGCCACTTTTCATCTTTAGGGTTTATTAGTTTGTATTATTCTCCAGAGAAACAGAACCAATAGGAGATATATATATATATATATGTATATATAAAGAGAGAGAGAGAGAGAAGGAGAGATTTATAAAGGGATGTATTATATATATAAAACACACACACATATACACACAACACACACACACACATATATGTGTATATATAGAGAGAGAGAGAGAAAAAGAGAGAGAGAGATGTATTATGACGGATTGGTTCATGTGACAGGCAAGCCGGTGGTGTAGTTTCAGTTCAAACCCAAAGATCTGAGACCCAGGGGGGCCAATGATATAAGCTCTCGTTGAAGTCTGATGGCTCAAGAACAAGGATTGTTGATGTCCAGGGGTAGGAGAAAATGAAAGCCCTAGCTCAAGCAGAAAGAACAAATTTGCCCTTCCTCCTCCTTTTTTATTCTATCTGGGCCCTGAACAGATTTGATGATGCCGACCCACATTACAGAGGATGGATATTCTTTACTTCTTTCCTCTTTATTTCTATTGATTCAAGTGCTAATCTCTTTCAGAAACTCCCCTACAGACACAAGCAGAAATAAGCTCTACCAGCTTTCTGGGCATTCCTTAACCCAGTCAAATTGATGCAAATTGACTATTACAGACACCCTCCTTTTTTTTTTTTTTTTTTTTTTTTTTTTTGAGACAGACTCTCACTCTTGTTGCCCAGGCTAGAGTGCAATGGCATGATCTCGGCTCACTGCAACCTCCACCTCCTGGGTTCAAGCGATTCTCCTGCCTCAGCCTCCCAAGTAGCTGGGACTACAGGCACCCACCACCATGCCTGGCTAATTTTTGTATTTTTAGTAGAGACAGGGTTTCACCATGTTGGCCAGGCCAGTCTCGAACTCCTGACCTCAGGTGATCTGCCCGCCTCAGCCTCCCAAAGTGCTGGGATTAGAGGCATGAGTCACCATGCCAGGCCTACAGACACTCTCTTACATGCTGCTAGTATATAGTCATTGAAGACAGAGATTATGTTTTCTCCCTCTTATATCCCTGCTGTCTAACACATTGCTGATACATAGCCCATGACTAATAAATGTCTATTTAATGAACAAATAAACAATATTGTCTATATTATCACAAAGGTGATATAAGACTAAATTAGCTTACATGCTTTTTCTAGATAGCCATTCAAATACCATCTACAGCATACTTGCCATCTGTATTTTTTCTTCAGAATTTTTTTTTTTTAGATAGAGTTTTGTTCTTGTTGCCCAGGCTGGAATGCAATGGTGCGATCTTGGCTCACCACAACCTCTGCCTCCCGGGTTGAAGCAATTCTCTCCTGTCTCAGCCTTCCAAGTAGCTGGGATTACAGTTGCCCACCACCATGCCTGGCTAATTTTTGTATTTTCAGCAGAGACGGGGTTTCACCATGTTGGCCAGGCTGGTCTCGAACTCCTGGCCTCAGGTGATCTGCCTGCCTCAGCCTCCCAAAGTGTTGGGATTACAGGCATGAGCCAAGGTGCCCAGCCCCTTAAAGACATTTTTAACTAATTTCACAAATACTTCTTGAATATCTACTATTTGCCAGGCACTGTTTTAAGCTGCTGAGACACATGTTGGTAAACAACAATCAAAACATTCCTGCCCTACTGTAACTTGCATTCTAAAAAGGTAACTGATAATAAACATAATAAATAAGTCTTTCCATATGATTGGTGATCATTGTTATGGGGAGAAAAGCAAAGCAAGGTAAGGGGGCTCAGAATTGACAGTCTGATATTGTGATAAAATAAGAAATATATGTTTGGTCTCTGCCCCTGGTTTCTGGCACAGAGCTTCTAAAACTTTTATAATTTCCTGAGCAATCGGGATGCTAGAAGAATCTTTTGTTCTAATATTTGGTCATTGGTCACATTCCTGACAGAATCTTAATCTCTTGGAATTTCCTGGGTGATAGGAGTGTCTTTTGTTCTAACGAGGTAACTTTTGATGGGCTCTTGGATGGGGACTCTTCACCAGAAAGACCAAGCCTTGATCAGAAACTTGGAACTTTCAGTACTTCCTTTATCCTTTGGGAAGGGGAGAGAGCCTGGAGATTCAGGTAATAATCAATTACACCTTCATAAAAATCCCTGAACTCTGAGCTTCAGGGAGCTTCTGTGTTGTTGAATGTGTAGAGGTGTGAGGAAGATGGCATGACTGGAGAGGAACTGAAAGTTTCGTGCCCCTTCCCACATACTTCACCTCATGTGCCTCTTCCTCTGGTTATTCGTCTGTACCCCTAGTAATATCCTTTATAATAAATGGGTAAACATAAGCAAAGTGTTTCCCTCATTTCTGGGCTCACACACAAAAAAATGTGCTGTTCTAGCAAATTATTGAACCCCACAGGGGATTGTGGGAACCTCCGATATGTAGCTAGTTGGTCAGAAGTATAGAACAGAACCTGAGACTTGGGATTGGTATCTGAAGTGGAGGGCAGTTTCATGGGACAAGCTCTTAACCTGTGGGGTCTGCAGTAACTCCAGTTAGTGTCAGAATTGAATTAAATTATAGGACACCCAGTTGGTGTCTGCTGGTGAATCGCTTGGCGTGGGGGAAAATCCCACACATCTCAGTGATCAGAAGTGATCTGTGTTGAGAGGATAGCAGGAGAAAATAGTCATTTGTTTCTTCCTTACTGTTCTTGTAAAAGAGGGTATAGGTTGCAATTTGAAATAAAAGAGTCAGCTAGGCCTCACTGAGAGGGTGACATTTCAGTAAGTATTTGAAGGAGTAAGCAGGTTTGCCCTGCGAGTGTCTTGGGGAAGAACACCCAGGCAGAAAGAACAGCTAATATAAAGGCCAGATAGTTTACTTATTCCAAGAATGCCACAGAGGCCAGGGTGGCTGGAGCAGAGAGAATGAAGGGGATAGAGAAGGTGAAGGCAGGGAGGAAATGGCAGAGATGAGCACGCTGGGGAAAGGCTGTGTAGGGCCTAATTTCTATTCCAAGTAAAACAGTGAGCCGGTACAGCATCCTGGGCAGAGAAGTAGCATGATTTGGCTTACATTTTGAATAGATAGGCCTATTTGGGGAACAAGCTCTATTTTAGTAAATAAGAAGATGATCTTTTTAAATTGGTAGTTTCCTTGTTCATATCCCCTGAATACTTTCTCGTGCAGCCAATTCTGTGCCAAATGAAAAGTCTCATCCTGTATGTATGTCTGAATCTTATCTAGGATTTCTCAGCCAACTTATCTTGGCACACAGGAACATTATGACCTGTGGCTAGGAATTTCTCAAAATTCACAGCCAAGCTGATATTTAGGATACTGTCCTAAGATGGAATAAAGAAAAAAATGTAACTTAAATTCTGATTTTAAATATTACTTTAAATGAGTTCTTATAACAAGGGACACAAGATTCAGGATGTGATATAAGAATTTATAATTATAGCTATATAATGGTCCTACAAAATGTTACTGCCTCTTTGAATCAAATGTTCTATGTGGACCTTTGGAATAATAACAACATTCAAGAGATCATCACTTCTGGATTCTTGTCAATTTTTACCGAATCAAAAGGCAATGAGTAAATTTATTAGAAT
Organism: Homo sapiens; assembly: GCF_000001405.40. NCBI lineage: Eukaryota > Metazoa > Chordata > Mammalia > Primates > Hominidae > Homo > Homo sapiens. Next base: position 67,617,129 of record NC_000012.12, on the reverse strand, counting down.
TGGTCATAGAAATGTTTTGACACCAGCCAGAAGGGAAAGTCACATAGGGGCTATTTCAAAAGCAAACTGCAGAAAACATTTTATATAAGAAGACCATAAATGGCTAATAAATCTGATAAAAACGTTTTAGCTGCCCTAGTAACCAAAGAAATTTAAAGTAGTAATGAGATACTTAAAGTGAATTTAAAAGAGGAGAAAAAACAAGGAAAAGGAAAAATAGAAGAATATTAGAATATTTGGGTGAAAATATAGGCATTTAGTGAGACACGGTCTTGAACTGCTTGGGAGTGGGAATAGGGAAATTCTCACATTGCTGATATTTTCAGTGGATCAGAAAAGCAATGTGACAGTACAGACTATAAACATAAAAAAGGATCGCATATTCCTGTACTTTTTACTCCTGGAAAAGTTTCTTTAGAAAATAGTGGAAAAAAAAAGTTGAATTGCAGCATTATTTTAAATACAGAAAAAGTATATACCTTGCAAAAGAAGGAAGGTTAAACAAAATATTTTAAATCCATATTGAGAAATGTTATATAACATTAAACATTCTATGAAAAAATTAATGATGTGGGGAAAATACTTACAACATAATGAGACATTTGATGCAAACAAGGTTCAGACACATGGTCTCGGTCATGTACAAATAATATGTGATAGAAATGAAAACTAAGTGGAAATATATAATTGGGAACAGCGATTATCTTTGAATGGTGAGGTCCTACAGGGGTTTATTTTTTATTACATTTTTATACATAGCATTTATAATAAATATGTCTAATATTTCTAATGTTTTTCTATTTTAATAAAAATTATGTATTTTAATATATAAATCTATGTAATATTTTCTGTATGTAAACTTTCAACATTATTTTTAAATAAAAAAGAAATATATTCAGAGTATAGCTAAGCAGTTGAAAAATAGCGAAATCTTTCGACCTAGCCAATGGTATAAAATAAATATAGGGATACACTATAGACCAAATACCTTAATTAAAGACAATAACCAATTTTCTAGATGCCAAACCAATGCCATCAGTTTGCTGTTAATCTGCATAAAATAAGTTAGTAACAGTCTATTTGCTGCTAACTATAGAATATTTTAACATTTACCAAATTATTAATGAGACTGGCTTTATAGTGACCCTTAAGATGGACTAGATCTTAAAAGCACTGTTGTTAAAGAATAGATTCACAGGACAAATATTTCAAGTAAAAGTCAACAAGAAAAAAAATGTATATGTAAGCATCTAAATTTTATATACCTCCAGGTGTCCTTACAAGGAAGTGTGGAAGAGAACAGATGCTAATTTATGACTCCGGATCAATTTGCTCAAACCTGCACACAGGCATTAGAGGCAGAAGAAGGACACCATTTTTCCCCCCGTTTGGTATATACCATTCCTCTGGTTATGTTGTTTACTGATATCCTGCCTCCGTGTCAGGCTTAATACAAATAAATAAACAAACAACAATCTCTATTTTTTTAAATAAAGGAAGCTTTTTAACCATTTAAAGATAAGCAGTTTAATGTTATTACTAGAAAAAAAAATGAGTATTGGTTATTTTAAGAACACGTGCATTTTTTTCTAATTAAGTCTTTGCTTTTGAAACCTTGGAAAATCAGTGTTTTCAGAGCTCCATTTCACTATGAGACAGTTGTGTTCAATGAATTCAAAGCATCCCCCGTAGGTCTTCCTTCTCTTGGGAGCTCTCATTCCACAGCTGGCTTAGTTTTCTACACCTTGGTGGCCCATATACAAAATTAAAGCCCCAAATTGACCAAACCTCCCTCAAAAGCAAGCTGAGTATGTGGGAATTCAAATCACTGTTTCGATAGAGTGGGTTTCAAAGCCTTCTGATTACAGTGGTCGGAATTCTGAATAGTCTCTAGAAATCAAGCCACACTAACACTTCCAGGACCTGTGCTTAGTTCTCTAGAAAGGTAGTTTCCTAAAAGTGCTCACTTAGTTCCCTCAGGTGAGCAGTTCTTTCCCCCAAGGATTGTTTCTCATTCTCCACACCTTTCTGCACTTTTAAGTAATTTGCCCAGTGCCCTCTTCTCCCAGGAATTGGAACACTTGATACAAATTTTCTATTTTATTTCACAGTCTGCACTTCTGTGGGGCCAGACATTAGATTTTCCTTCCAATTGTCCCACAGACATGTAGCCTCCTTCATTCAAGCAATGAAGGCCATGGTATGAACTCCACACCTGTTCCAGCAAGACAATTCTCCCTTCAGAGCACTCCCAAGTCAAAGGGCACAATACTATCACAAGTATAATACTGGATGGCGGAGGGGCAGGTAGGAGCACCACTTTTCTGTTAAATTAAACTCCTTACTTAGCCTGGAAATCACTTACCTTCCTAGGTTTCTTTTAGGTGATTGGTCCATTATGAACCTGGAAGATGAGCCAGCTGCCACGTAAGTGGACTTTCCAGCCTCAGATGACCACAGCCCCCCACTGACACCAGGATTACAGCTGAGTAGTTACATGCTTACATTCTAAACTGCCTTTTAGAATTGCCAGGTCTGGATTCAAGGGACAACTTCATATCACTGCAGCCACCTTGACCTCTTCCAGAGAGCAGCTGGCTATGGGAAACCATTACAGAAATATTCAAGAAAAACTTAATCTCCCCATTTAGCCACAGGGAAGACATGGAGGACAGGATTTTAGCTTTAAGCCTTAAATGTTCAGGACTGAAGGAGTTAGCCTCAAAATTACTTATAAATTTCATCAAATATTGAGTGTCTGCTTTGTGCCAGGAAAATGTCTACTGTTTGGCTGATCTCCTTGCATGTCCCTTTTGATGATTTCCTGTTTTTGTCCCATTTTCTTCTTTTAGTGAGGAATCAAGGTTCTCAGTGTAATCGAGTTACTCAGCCTACCGAAATCGTTTTGATTTCTATTCACAGGTGTTTTGCCTGTGTTTACCTGATGTTCCCTCTAGCTAATCCAGGGATTCTGTATGTTTAATTGTTGATATAAAGTGGCAGACACACTTTCGAGATCTTAATAGCAAGAATGTAAGCATTTCTTTTCTTTTTTTAATCTTAGGATTTATGGCAATTTCATAGAAATCTGACAGAGTTGGATAAGAAACTGTAATACTGTATATGAGATAGAGAAGATATTTGAGGTGGCGGACGGCGGGGGGCTGTCCTTGAGCAAAACTGAAATAGGCCAAGAGTTTCTTCTGAGGCTCAGTTTTCATAATTCACAATCTGTTCCCCTCTTCTCCAGCCTCTTCCCCTGGGTACCTGTCATGAATCGTTACCCCAAACGAACTGCATGAGCTAATTTATCTGAAGTTAGGTAAGATACATTATGAATATCCCTTTTTTATAGATGAGGAAACTGAGGCTTAAATTAAGCCTGGCTTAGAGTTGCACAACTCGTTACTGGCAAGCACAGGGCTTGAAAACAGGTTTTCTGCTTTAAATTCAGTACTTTTCCATATGCCAGTGACGCCCAAACTAGCATCGGTTTTATTTTTGTCTATAAAATGATATGTACATAGAATTGGCTTTTGCATCTTTTTAAAATCAGAGATGTCGATGGCTACTGTTAATAATATCTGCGTAGAGGGTCTAATAACCTCTCTTTTGGGGCCATTGTGATAATGGAATTCAATGAGATCTATGAAGCCCCCGGCATGGTGTCTGAGCAGTATGTGCCCACCACATGTGCAGCCCCTTCCTTTCTGAGCTTTCCTGCTTGAGCTGGGTCCCCAGTGTTCACCCCCTGGGATTCCAGGAAAATATTTCATTACACTGTTATTTCAATGTAAAGCTAGACAATAACTAAGGGCTTTTGTTAAAAGTGTGAAGCCTTTTGCCAGTGAACATATAATTTCTGTTTTAATATCGAAACTAGCTTACTAATCACTTTCTTCTTAGTTACGAATTTCCTAGCTGCCTTATCCCTGTACCCTTAGCAATTCACAACCCCAGGCTGTGAATCCATCCAGTATATAATTCGTTTTTTAGTATCTTAGAATACCCCAACTTCTTCTGAGAAGGGAAAGAGTATGTGATTATAAAGACTATGGTCTTAATTTAGTAGGTCACCCCTTTCTTGGGTGTATTTGCCTTTTAAAAAGAGAAACCAAGAAAAAGCAATATTTAACTCAAACAATTGAATATGTAATGGCAGAATGTCCAGTACTGTGTATGTGCATAGCCATTTCGTAGATTGAGGGAAACGCGAATATTTTAGACCAGAAGAGGGTATCGCTTAAATCAGTGCTCCCCAAATTTTTTGGCACCACGGACCAGTTTCATTGAAGACAATTTTTCCATGGATGGATGGGGATGGTTTCAAGATAAAACTGTTCCACCTCAGATCATCAGGCATTAGATTCTCATAAGTAGCATGCAACCAGACCACCACATGTGCAGTTCACAATAGGGTTCCTGCTCCCATGAGAATATAATGCCACCACGGATTTGACAGGAGGCGGAGCTCAGGTGGTAATGCTTGCTTGCCGCCATTCACCTTCTGCTGTGCGGCCCACTTCCTAACAGGCCACTGACCAGTACTGGTCCTCGGCCAGGGGGTTGGGGACCCTTGCCTTAAATTATGCCATGAGGGGCTCACTTCTTTGCTTTTTTCAGAGAGTCTCTATTTAGGGAATGGAACAAGAACCTCACCTATTCTCCTCTGCTTATATTGTGGACACTGAGTGTGAAGGTCAAACTAAAAAACTGTGAAAGCATCATGTTGTGAAGTTGGGGCTTTAGGATCAGACAGATGCAGATTCAACTCCTTAGCCACATACTAGCTGTGTGCCCTTAGGCATATTCCAAACTGAATGCCAGTTTTTTCCTCTGAAAATAGAGGTGGCCCCTTGGCAGAGTGGTTGCAGGGTCATATGAATCAGGACAGGTAAAGCATCAACCTCCACATTTGCATTCTCTAAATGACTGCTATTATGCTATTATGTTTCAAGTGCACTCAGCACAGACACCTTTCTTTCTCCTCTCCAGATTGGTTTCTTGGATTTATTTCTAAAACCTGGGAATTTCTAGGAATTGGCAGCAGTTAGAAACACAGGGAATGATTTAAAAGTTCCCCTGAGAAGTTGAGGAAAGCAATCTTGGAGCAGAGATCTTCTTCTTCCTCTTCTGAAAACTTTATTTACCATTTAAAAGACTCCACAAGTTAAAAGAGAGAGAGAGAGATAAAAAATTAATTAGATTTAAATCCCTACTCTCCTTTTGCAAGATCTAAATTAAAAGTCATCACAAAATACCTGTGTGCTTCACAAGCTGCCAAAATTTGAAATTCACAACCCCCTTGACTTTATGTTTCAGGAAATTTGATTTTGAGATCTAATTTTAGGATAACAAATAGCCCTTCACAAAGAGTCCCAAATGTTCCTGGTTCCCAAGGAGTAGTAATTTCAACACTTCTCTATGAAAATCTAAATATACAATTTTTTATTCCTACATTTTGATAAATCACAGCATACAAATTC